>NC_000012.12:114884370-115035885 GCF_000001405.40 Homo sapiens | reverse complement strand
TCCTGTGTAGGTAACAAATTGGATACCATGTTTGTACTGAGCCCTGGAGGGAGGGAAGGAAGGGGGGAAGTAGGGAGGAGGAGGGCAGTGTGGGATGGAGGTGGGGTTACAGGGTCAGCCGACTTGGCTTTAGGCATCCACATAGCAACTCCATCCACCCCTTCCCAGGAAGCAGCCACTGCTGCAGGGCACACAGAGGGTAGCAGCTGGAGGTCAGCAGAGGCCAATACATGCACACACAAGGGTGTGTTTGTGTGCTTGAGTGTGTGTGTCCATTCCCAGCCAAGGGCAGGGAAAGCTACTGAGTTGAATTCTTTTAAGAGATCTCCAAGGACTTTCTGACCCAATCCCCACTTATTAAACATATAATTACTTTCTTTTTTTCTTTCCCTGCATTACCAGAAGACAGTGTAGTTTGGCCTTTAGGTACACAGTTTCTGGAGCTAAACTCCCTGAGTTCAAGTCCCACCTGGACCACTTAATAGCTGTGTGAATTTGGAGGGTAACTTAACCCCTAGTTGCCTCAGTTTCTCGTTTCAAAAGAAAGGGAGATAGTAACAATGACTTCCTCAAATATTTGAGGAAGTTAATATGTATAAAATGCTAATAAGCACAAACTATAATTATTCATTCAGCAGACACATATAGAGGAGCCTATATATGATGTATTAATTTTCTGGAACATCTGTGCAAAGCAATGTTCATTTTATGGAAATTATATTAATCTTCCCCCAGAGCCCTGGCACAACACATGCATTTAATTCCCATTTTACAGATGAGGAAACTGAGATTCAGGGAAGTCGGGTCCCTTGCCCAGGTTTACCCCACTAATGAATGATGGAAACAGCCAGTTCAAAGCCCTGGCTCCTAATCAATTCACCGTGATCTCCAGTTTTCTTTCGTATTCCAAACACCCAGGTCAATGTTTGACATATAAGTGAATGAACCAGTGATTGGTTCTGCCATTCTCCCTTTCTTTGCTCTTTCCACTTTAACCTTTGTCCAGAGGCAGCCCTGAGGAAGCCATGCACTTCTTGGATACCCATATCTCTTTTCTCTTTCCTGTTCCTTGATGCTGTTCCATCAGTCTTCATCTTCACCACTCAACTGCCATCCATCTCTCCTACTAGTACCTCCTTGGAAGTAAGGCCCCAAATATTTCTCTGGCACTGGAGGAAATTCATTCTTTCTGGTTTAATTTGCCCCGTCTGGCCTTAATTGCTTTGCCCTGTTGTGAGAGGAGACCTCCCATGGCGACGGCCCCGAGGATGGGTTGGAGGGTGGGAGGGTGGAGGAGGAAATCGGGGTGAGCTGTTGAGTGGAGAGTGGATTAGTCCAAGGCCAATGGGGCAACGGAAGTTGGGGATCTTGGAGCCTGTGGCTCCAGACCCACCCTTGGTTGTGACGTTTACGATTGAACTTGGGCAGGAGCATGTGTCTGGGGGCTGCGCCGGCCTCCCTGGCCCCTACCTTGAGTGTTTGGTCCTGCAGCTCATTAAGCAGTGACACTTAGCACATCATCAAACTGCTTTACAGGCACAGCCCACACAGCTCCTGGCCTCTGGAGTCCGCAGGTAGTGGGGGGACGCTGACCTCCCAGCAACTGGAGCTGGGACTGGGTGGACACACAAGGGGATCAAAAGACCTCATGGGAAAAACAGACCAAGAACTGGATTAGGGCACCAGGACCCCTGACCTTTCACCCCCAGAAATTATACAAGACTAAGGTGCATGAGAAACAGGGGTTCTGGGTGTGGTGTCATGGAAAAATCATGGCATTTGGTGTCCTGTGAACAAGGCTCAAATCCTAGATTTGCCACTTCCCAGCAACTGTGGAACACAAGCAAGGTTTTTACCTTCTCTGACCCTCTGTTTCCTCAATAAGGCCAATAGTACCTACTCCAGGGGGCTGTTGCTAGAAATATTGGGATGATACATATAACATGTTTAACCCAGAGCAGGCAATAAATGGTGATTATTTGAATTACCTACTCCTACTTTCCCACTTTCTGAAGAGCGAAGAGATCAATGGGATCAGGCTGACAACTATTAGTTTTACCCCCATCCTCCCTCCCACCTCCGTGCCCCTTTTTTGGTGGGTGAGTTAGTTCGGGCTTGGAGCTCTGAAAGTAAACTTTGCCTTTTAATGTCACAAAAAATCACAATAAGAAATCAACAACAAAAATAAAGCAGCTTCGAGTTAACAAGTGTCTACTATGAGCCAGGTGCATTTTCATTCCAGATAGATAGATAGATAGATAGATAGATAGATAGATAGATACCCATTATGTTTTCACAACTCTGTGAAGCATCTACAATGATTATTCCCATTTTACAGAGGAGAAAACTGAGGCTCAGAAGGACTAAGTCATTTGTCTCATGTCTCATGAGTAAAGCTGTGATGTAAACCCAGATCTATTGACTCTGAGTTTTTATTCTTTCCAACGTTGGATAGCCCTTGAAAGGGGTGGGAGGGAAGAACAGTATGTTGGAGACCCCAGGCAGATCAGGGGGTGCTTCTGGTCCATGTCCCCTGTCCTGAGTTCTTGGAGGTCCATTTGCAGACCCCCTAATTTCCAACTATCCTTCAGAAGCCTCAAATATATTCCTAAATCTCCTTGAAACAGCCCTGGCCAAGAAGAGCCTGCTTTCATGGTTGATGTGCAGTGATGAGGCAGGGTTAATACTTCATTAGGTCATGGTGCCATTTTGCAGTTCATGGATATTCGGTAACACAAGCAACAACAAACTCACAAATTCCTGGGCCTCACTTTCTCTGGGGGTGCAGGCTCAGGATGATGGCCCCCTGAATGTGGGCATGAGATAAAAACCTGTGCCTGACTCTCATGAATGTGTGGAGAAGATGCTCCGGGACTTTGGGATCGTGACTCCATCCTTGCTCCCACTTCCATGCCCCTTTTTTGGTGTGTGAGTAAGTTCCGGGCTTGGAGCTCTGACAGTAAACAATCCTCTTGGCCTGCCTGAAAGGTGAGTGTATTTTGTAGAGATCCTGTATTCATTTGCTGGTCTGCCGTAACAAATTGCCACAAACTGGGTGGCTTAAACAACAGAAATATGTTGTCTCACCAGTCTGGAGTCTAGAAGTCTGAGATCGAGCTGTCAGTAGGGCTAGTTCCTTCTGAGGCTGTGAGAGAAGATCTGTTCCATGCCTCCCCTCTAGCTTCTGGTCATTTGCTGGCAATCTTTTGCATTCCTTAGCTTATATTAAGTTGCTGTAAAAGTAATGAAAATAATTGTGATTTTTGCCATTACTTTTGAGAGCAAAAACTGCGATGACTTCTGCACCAACCTAATAGAAGTATTGCCCCAATCTCTGCCTTCATCTTCCCATGATGTTGTCCTATGTGTGTGTCCATCTCCAAATTTCTCCTTCTTATAATGACATGGGTCATACTGGATTCAGGCCCTCCCTCATGACCTCATTTTAACTTGATTACCAAATAACTTCACATTCTGAGGTGCTGGAGGATTAGGACGCTGACCTAGGAATTTTTCAGGGACACAATTCCATCCATAATAGTTCAGAAAGAGAAACAGGACTCACTCTTAGGTCAGTCTGATGAAATCCATGGACCCAATTCCTCAAGTCAATTCATAGGAACAAGTGCATTTAAAAATGTTATGTGATTTTTAGAAGTTCATGGACCTTCTGACACACGGGGTCTAGGACCACCAGATTAGACCTCTGGTAAGTTGCCAAGATACAAATATGTCATGAAGTCAACAACAGCAAGGTGGGGAATGTGGTGAGCTAGGTAAGGTCTGGAAAATAAGATGGTAAGTTCAGTTTGGAACATATTGAGTTGAAAGTGCAACATTAATATGTTGCATGGTGACAGTACAATATCCAGTTCCAAACTGTCAGCTTGGAAGGAAGTATAGAACTTAATATTGAGTCCTTTATTCTTTGTTTCTCTCCTCCTTTGTCTCTCAAAGATTTCTTGTACAGCCAATGTATGCTAGGCTGTGTGCAATATATGCTGGGCATTTTTTTTTTTTTTGAGACGGAGTCTTGCTCTGTCGTCCAGGCTGGAGTGCAGTGGCGCGATCTCGGCTCACTGCAAGCTCCAACTCCCAGGTTCACACCATTCTCCTGCCTCAGCCTCCTGAGTAGCTGGGATTACAGGCGCCCGCCACCACGCCCGGCTAATTTTTTGTATTTTTAGTACAGACGGGGTTTCACCATGTTAGCCAAGATGGTCTCGATCTCCTGACCTCATGATCCGCCCGCCTCAGCCTCCCAAAGTGCTGGGATTACAGGCATGAGCCATCGCACCTGGCCATGCTGGGCATATTAAAAACAGTGAGAGCATATGTATCCTCAAGGAACTCACAGGCTAATGTGAGAGTGAACATATGCATGTAAGTAAATTTTTATAGGTATATAGGAGTATGTGTGTATATTACAATATATATGTGTGTGTGTATATATATATAGTATATATACTATATATATAGTATATATATACTATATATATACTATATATATACACTATATATATAGTATATATATATACTATATATATATATACTATATATATATATATACTATATATATATATATTTATATACATATGTACTTACCTACCTGTATGGATACCTGTAACTTTATGGTAGGTAATACACACACACAAACCCCTATACGTGCACACGCACACATGCACACACACATATGTACATAGGGTAGATAAGTGCATATGTACCAAGGAGGGGTAGGTATTAATGGCCTTAACTGGTTGAAAGTTCAAGTTTGGACTAACTTCAGGCATAGTTGGATCCAAGTACTAAAGAAGCATTTGCAGGCCTTGGTCTGTAGTACTTTATCATTGGTTCTTCTTTCCTCAACTTTGGCTCTACTCTTAGGCAGGACTGCCCATATGATGGTACATCAACTGCCAGTAGCTCCCAGCTTACATCCAATTCAGCAACCCCAGTGAAAACAGAATATTTCCCCACCTCAAAAAATTTTAGTAGAAGTTGTGTTAATATACATGTTAATATGCATATGTACATATACACATGTATATATACAGGTAGGTAAGTGCATGTGTATATTAACACAACTTTAATCAAATTTTCTGCCACTTGTTATCAAAACAGTTCTTGCCAATGTAATAGTTTCATCCAAGAGGCCACATCTGAGTTAGAGCATATAGGTGCCTGTGAAAGGGCATCTGCGCCAAAGAAAAAGCTGAGCAAGGAATGGGAGCATTATTTAGGTTGATCTCATATAGACAGAGGAACCAAACTAGTCAAAGGATAACATTTGAAATAATGTTTGCACAAATGTGCCATGAAATATGGAAAGATCCTTGAAGAAGGTAGAATGGAGTTCACCTTTAACCAAATGATTCCAGCTGAAGGCAGTGTTGCAGTGTCCTTGTACAGATGAAGACTTGTGGATCCCAGACAGATTAAGTTAATTGTTAAATGCCTTACTATTAACTAACCAATAAGAACAAATCCCAGGTCTTCTACTGAAATTGTTTGAGGTGGGGAAATATTCTGTTTTCACTGGGGTTGCCGAATCGGATATAAGCTGGGAGCTACTGGCAGTCAACACACCGTCACAAGGGCAGTCCTGCCTGAGAATAGAGCCAAAGCCAAAGAAAGAAGAGCCAAAGATAAAGTGCTACAGACCAAGTCCTGCTATTGCTTCTTTAGCCCCTGGATCTAACTATGCCTGAAGCCAGCCAAACTTGAACTTTCAACCACTTGAGGCAAATAATACCTACCTCTCCTTGCTACATGCTGTGATTGATCTACTGTCTCTTTGGCAGTCAATTTACATACTGAAAGTCCTTTATGAACTCTGTGGCTGTACTAATGCCTGTAATTTTGTCTGAGGGTCCCTTCTGCAGCCCCTGGACATAGAAATATTCTCGTCATCATGTGGAAAAAGCCAGATGTACCAGAGACTTAAAAAGCTAAGCACAGAAAGACACATATTGCATGTTCCCATTCATATGTGGGAGTCAAAATAGTGGAACTCATGGAGGTAGAGCATAGAATGACAGATACCAGAGGCTGGGAAGGGTGTGTACATAGGGGTGAGGGATAAAGAGAGGTTGGTCAATGAGAACAAACGCATACTTAGATAGAAAGAATAAGTGCTAGTGTTTGATAGCAGAGTAAGGTGACATAGTTAACAACAGTGTATTGTATATTTCAAAATAGCTAGTAAAGAGGACTTGAAATGTTCTTAGTGCATGGAAATGACAAATACACAAGGTGATGATGGATGCCCTAAATACCCTGACCTGATCATGACACAGCCATGCATGCAACAAAATATCACAGGTACCACATAAATGTGCACAAACACTACGTAACAGTTAAAAAACAAGAAAGACAGCAACAGCCCTCAACTAATTATTGCAGGAATTGAATAAATAACTTCTCCAGTTCCCTTGGCCCTCAACTGAGATAACTCGCTGTCAGCCAGCATTTCCCAGGGGGTAATGCTCCAGTTGCTCTCACTATGACTGGCTTAATAACGATGCCCTTTCTTGACTTTCTTCTCTTTCCTGCCTCATTTTCCACTCCCTTGCCATGACCTCCTCGGATCATCTCCCAAACAAATTCCACTTACCTCCTTGTCTCAGGCTCTGCTTCGTGGGGAATCCAAAAAAAACCTCACATACCATTTTTGTCAGTCTTAGGTCACTGAAAATTGTGCTTCTACATCGTACAGCCAACAGAATCCTGACTAATGTACCAGATTAGGAAAGAAATGCCCACAAGCACTGGAAGTTACTAGAACCATGTTCCATTGATGGAGATGTCAACATCCTTATCATAAAGAAATTTCTCCATCCCAGGAAGAAGCAGAGCAGGTAACTTGGATCCTCAATACTTAGCAGAAATGCCAGTCTTCCCTGAGGAAGAGGGCTTGGGGCATTAACAGAGAAAAGGGAGGTGCCTGGATCATTCCATTGAGTGTCTCCCCATCCCATGAAGAGCAGAAAACCTGGATCTTGTAAAAGGTCCCATTTTCTTTTCTCATAAATGTTGCAGGCTCCCTGCTTCATATATTGCTGTTAATAAATTATACCCCACCTCTCTTTTAAGGCCCTTTTGTTATAACTCAGGCTCCCAGTTCCATTAACTCTCCATTACTTGAACACTTCATTATGACATTTTTTTTGCAAGCTGAGAGCATGGCTCCTGACACCCTCAGCCAGGCAGGAGGCAGAGATCAAAATGGGCCATTAAGTTTCTGTGGCCAATGCACAATTTTTTTTTCCAGAGTCTATTTTCTGCTGCTTTTAAAATAATGGACTCAAACGTTTCTCTTCTCTAGCAAACTCATCAGTAGCGTGCCAAGGACAGAGCCTGAGACAGAAAGGTTAGAGTGGCCTGAAATGCAACTGTTTCCTCACGTTCTTAATTTTTCCCTAGCACGGAGGAAGGTTTAATCCTACTTAAGGCAAAGCTGTTCTTTTGGGTCATTGGCTGAAATTCACAATGCAGGCCATTGTGAATCATACTTTAAAGTCCTAAGCAGTGGTCACAAATGTATGATCCTAAGATGTTGACGAGGGAATGCAGCCCTTGGAAGTCTGGGAAAGATAACCCTTCAAGTGTCTTCCAAAGCCCAAGTGCTCAATGCTATGCTTTCAAGATGCCATCTTCTATTCTTGTTTCTGATGGCTTCCTCTGGGAACATAAGCCAAACAATGGGGAATAAAGCAATTTGCAAAATATAAAAGGAAACACAAATAGGCACATGACATTTGCACATGCTTCATACATAAAATGCACATGCAATGGATATGCATCTACATAGCCAGCATATGTGGCTGTGGGCTTCAGATGCATGACATCATTTCATCCTCCCATGAACCCAGGAAATTAAGAATTAATATTATATTCATTTCCCAGAAGAAGAGACAAAGTCACAGAGAGGATAAATTACTCACCCAAGCCCACACAGGTGTTAAGTATTACAGTGTGGTTGTGGCTTTGAGCAGTCTACTCCAAGAACACATGTTTGTAAAACTATTGCTCAGCTGCGGCTGGGTGCGGTGGCTCATGCCTATAATCCCAGCACTTTGGGAGGCTGAGGCAGGCGGATCACAAGGTCAGGAGATCGAGACCATCCTGGCTAACATGGTGAAACCCCATCTCTATTAAAAATACAAAAAATTAGCTGGGCGTGGTGGCGGGCACCTGTAGTCCCAGCTACTCAGGAGGCTGAGGCAGGAGAATGGCGTGAACCCGGAGGGCAGAGCTTGCAGTGAGCCAAGATCGCGCCACTGCACTCCAGCCTGGGCGACAGAGTGAGACTCTGTCTAAAAAAAAAAAATTCTCAGCTCCTTCTTAAATTTTCAGTTAAACTGAAACATACATGGGCACGTGGACATGTTCACTACACTCATCATGCACATACCCAAATATTGTACACCCATGCCAACAGGATAGTGGGTACACTTCACCTTCATCTTGGCTGCAACGCTCTCAACCTAATAACACAAAAATCAGTCCTTTTATTTGGACAAGGCCTGACCGTTTACAAAGCACTTTCACATACATTAACTCATCAGCCCTGAATTTGCTGACAGGGCCAAGACAAGAAATGGACAAGGGAAGTGTAATACATCATTGACCAAAATAATAATTTGGCCCTTTAGATAGAGATTTTCATCCAAGGATAAATTATACCTTTTAGGCACATACAGGCGAGATCAATAGTCACAGAATCTTCATACTGTAAGGGATCTTAGAAATGACTGTCTTAGCCTGAGCTGCCACAACAAAGTACCACAGACTAGGTGATTTAAACAACACAAATTTTCCTGATGTATATGTAACCAGATAAATAAATAAAGGAAGCAAAACAACAACAACAACAACACAAATTTATGTCTCGTAGTTCTGGAATCAGGATTTCCAAAATCACGGTGCCAGCATGGTTAGTTAGGTTCATGGAAGGGACCTCTTCCTGACTTGTGAATAGTTGAATTTTTGCTGTATCTTCACATGATGGAGAGAGAGTTCTGGTCCTTTTCTCTTCTTATAAGGGTACTGTATTAGTCTGTTTTCATGCTGCTGATAAAGACATACCCAAGACTGAGCAATTTACCAAAGAAGTAGGTTTAATCGACTCATAGTTTCACATGGCTGGGGAGGCGTCACAATCATGGTGGAAGGTGAAAGGCATGTCTTACATGGTGGCAGACAAAAGAAGAGAATGAGAGCTAAGTGAAAGTTATCTGATGGTTATAAAACCATCAGATCTCATGAGACTTATTCACTATCATGAGAGAACAATACAGGGGAACCGCCCCCATGATTCAATCGTCTCCAACTGAGTACCTCCCACAACACATGGGAATTATGGGAGCTACAATTCAAGATGAGATTTGGGTGAAAACACAGCCAAACCATATCAGATGCTAATCCTATCATGGGACCTTCACCCCCCTGACCTCTTTTAAGCTTAATTACCTCCCAGAGGCCCCACTTCGAAAACCATCTCATTGGGGATGAGGGTTTCCACATATTTGTTTTGTCAGAGACACAAGCATGTAGTCCATAACAATGAACTAGTCCAGGCTCTTGACTTTCCAAGTGGAGAAATGGAAACCTGGCAGAAGGCAAGACTCTCTGAAGATCATAAAGTCACATAAGGGCAGAGTTGGCTGTTTGAATGAGGGATTCTTCATTCAGCCAGGAGGCCCACGGTAGATGACTGCAGTCTTTGCTATAGGACAATTAGAATTCAGGCTATGACACTGTATAACTTTAAACAAGTTTCTTTTGTCTCTAGTTCTCAAGTTCTTTATCTATAAAAAGAAAAAGTTGGATGTTCCAAAGTATTATCCATGGAAGACTAGTTTCATGGGAAGTAGATAAGCATCTTGTCTAGAAGTGTCTCATCGTCAAAGATATTTGGAAAAGCTGCCTTGTTCAGAGTGAAAGAAGTTTCCCAGCTGCAGGACTTGTCAGTGGCTTTGACTTACTGAAGTCATTTATTGTTTCTAAGGTGATGATATGGAGAATTTTCCAAATTTGCATGACAAACATGGAATCTGCATCTTATGTACTATCTTGAAGGATTAGAGTAGTGCAGAATCCATGTGAAAAAATGTGGCTGAGATGAATTTTGAAGCCTCATCTAGCTCTAATATTTTATAATTTTGAATGTTTTATTTCTTGACTTTTCCTTTATTTTACCGACATATCATATGTTTCCTAGGATTGCTATAACAAAGAATCACAAACTAGGTAGCTTAAAAAAAAAAACAGAAATATAGTGTCTCACAGTTCTGGAGGCTGAAAGTCTGAAATCAGTATCACCGAACTTTGAAACCTCTGAAACTCATAGGGGAGATCTGTTCAATGCCTCTCTCTTAGCTGCTGGTGGTAGCCCTCAAGCCTTGGAATTCCTTGGTTTATAGCTGCTTCACTCCTATTTCTGCCTCTATCATCACATGATATTTTCTTTGGTATATCTGTCTCTCTGTCTCTTCTCCTTTTCTTATAAAGACACCAATCATCTTTGATGAGGGGCCCCCCCTACTCTAGCATGATCTCATGATAACATCTACAATGGCCCCATTTCCAAATAAGATCATATTCTGAAGTCCCAGAGATTGAGACTCTAATGTATCTTTTTGAGACACACAATTCAACCCATAACTTATTCAAGCCATACATGAATGGAGGTATGACAAGAGATTTCTCAGCTTCAAAGAAATGAGGAGCAAAAAATTATACAATTGGCTGTACTGGCCACTTTGTTATCAATCAACTAACAAGTAGTTGGATTTTTGCATGGTCAACTTAATTGATCATTAAAGTCAACAGTCATAATTATACTTCCAACCATTTTCCTTTTACATGACCCCCAAATTCCCTACACACACACACACACAAACACACACACACACACACACACACACACACACACACACAGCATTTTCTCCTAGCTTTCTTGAAAACTGGATCAAACAAGCTAAACTGGCAGATTGAATGGTAGGGTTCAGCTATTTTGATGGCCAGAAGTACCAAGTGTACTTGGTTCATTTTGGTGGTGTTCTAATGCTGGTCACCAGACTTCGAGGCAAGCCACGTCTATACACAGTCCAAACTGACATGTCTTTGTCTAGCTATTGTGGGATGTCTTTGGTCAAATTAGTGGTTGCTTTTGGTGCCTTTAATCATCTTGCTTCTGATCTCAATATTGCCCAAGCAACTGACCAGCCTGGTTCATTCACACAAAGACTCAGTTAAAAATAAGTCAACCACACAATCTGTGTGGTATCGTGTAGGCAAAAGAAAATAACAAAACTGAATTTTACATGTGGCTTCTTTTTTTCTCTCTTTTTTCCCTGTCTGAACCAGTCATGTAGACACAACTGCAGAAAGATTGCCACGCTCGAAGGAGAAAGGGTGGGGGGATGACAAGAATAAAACATATACATCATTTCCATTGGATCATTCATGAGATCTTGAAGTTTTACCCCAGCGAGAAAAAGCTTGGCCCTTCATTGATTAACCTCCTAGTACCTTCAAATCAGAATATGCTGAGAGCTATGTATGCCGTCCAAAACTCCAGGTCAGTGTGGTGGGGAATGGAGGTAGGGGAATGAGGAATTAAACCAGATTGAAATCAGTTTTTCTCCCAGGCTGGGGAACTCTAGGATTCCTCAAACCTCAAAAATGGAATTGCTGTTCTCTCAAGTCCCAGAGTGGCCTGATTCCAAGCCCCTGCAGCCAAAGCCTAAAACGTGGCTTTACTTTGGAGAATTCAAATGTGGCTTTGCTTTCAAGAATTTGGCCCCAGCATGATGGGGATCTGGTGAAACACTTGGAAAAATCAAAAATTGAGAGCTCTCGGCAGCCTACGGATCCCACTAAGGCCCATGGCAAACTGGCCTCTGCAGACAGGCTCTCCTTCCTGATGGAGCTGTCTGCCTAGTTGTCCAGATGCCTCACCTTTGGGAGAGAAGCTGTGCCCATGTTTTGGAATGCTCAGAGCCTCTTTGTCCTCCCTCCTTTTCCCCACTGCAACCTTAAGGCTCAGTGATGAGGCCACAGCTGTTTATGTGTTTAACTTTTCTTGGGATTTTTTACTTAAGTTACTTGGGATTTTTTTTTTTTTCCCGAGGCCCCTGTTTCTTGCTTGGCTCAATGAGGTGTGCTAACTTCTCCAGACCTCTCCATATCTCTGCAAACACATGCCATGTACCTATGTGGTAATCCAGAACACCAAGGAAATCAGAACCCTGGATGAAAAAACAGGGGGCATGTAGGTTTGCTAAAAATAAAGTAAAATTAAAAATTCCAAAGATGACTTTGAAAAACAGCTGCAAGTTTCCTGATCAAAACATAGCCTTCTGGGGTTATTTCCAGGCCAGGCTGCCTGCCAAAGGCTGTGATGAATTCTAGGCTCCATATGGTGTGTCCCATATAACAGAGATTTGGCACCAGTGAATTCCAGACTCTAACCTGCAGTTCCAAGGCCTGCCCTCCTGGAGATAGGGGTTTACAATGATTGAGTTCCATGACCATATGAGACCAGAGGTCTTTCTTCAGTTCTAAAGGAGGGTTTCCATGCAGACCTCTTACTTCTACTGTGATCAAGCGAAAAGGCCCTGGGTTTTGGAGTCCCAGATTCATGGGATCAAATCCTTGCCCTTTTACTTACTGGCAATGCATGTTCAGACAACAAATTTAACCTCTCCAAATTTCAGTTGCTGCATCTGTAAGAGGAAAATTATCAAGCCTATCCTGCGTGGCTGAGTGAACTTATGGATAAGTTAATGAAAGCACCTAGTACTATATCTGATATATACTAGATGCTCACAACCTGGTGCCCAGCCTTATTATTATATCCCTTCCATTTTCCCCACTAGGACATGGAGCCAACAGTCAGTATAGAGCATTCTAGGCCAGGTACTGAAGTCTCTAGAAGTCAAAAACAGTATCTGGGAAATAAAGATTCCATTCCGGAAATGTTTCTTGAGCACTCTCCTTGTACCAAGCTGTTCCAAAGGAGTTCAATGTGTAACAAAGGAAATGTGTGCATGTGTATTACTATCCACTGATGTACTTTTCTCTTCTCTCTCTCTCTTTCTCATTCTGCTACATCGATTTTGCCATTAAGTCAAAGCAACAGAGTGATTGCCCTACAGAATGGAAAGGTGGCTTCCACCTAGAACAAAGAGCTTGTAGAGTAACAGCAAAAGAGGGTATGATATAATGGGAGTTACTCTTAGGCAGGCAGGAAAAGAAGAAAGTACATTCAGAGCTGGGCAGTCAGGGAAGGAAGAGTCTCTGATCAACCCCCAGCAAGACTCTGCACCCCATTACACGAGTCAGTGGAGGCAGAATCATCTATATAGGTTTGGAAAATCTAACTACATCTGGGTGGTGGCCCCATTTCTCTGGGATGGAGGCTGTACATTGCTGAGAGGTACTAGGGAGCATGGCTTGAGAGGAGGCCTTCAGTTCCCCAGGGTTTGTGGTAGCATCTAAGTTCTCATGCATCCCAGTGGGAAGTGTTAAGAGGCCAGAAACACAGTGTTTTCTGGGATCACAATGTGGGAGACCTTCCAACCCTGGCCAACATCAGGGGTCAAAAATGGCATGGCAGCATGACATCTAGTGGGTAGGCAAAGCCAGCCTCCCATGGCAGAGCACAGTGAAGACTCAGTGGAGGGTCATCCTATTCCACACCCAGAAGCCTCCCAGGAGATGAAGCAGAGAGCAGAGACACCTTGAAAAAGGAGATACAGCCCTTACCAGGAGTTTGAATTGGCTGAATATTTATTAAAGAGATAGTTACCTCTAGTTGGCAAATTTAATTTTTTATGCCATTAATGGAAATGGACACTCCAGAGCAAAATTAAATATAAAAACTGAAGAAAGATATGTTTTGTTTCTTAAATTCTTCAGGGTACATCTGAATCACAGCATATGAAATTGAAATTTAACCCTCCTGCACATGAATGCATCGCAGTATGCTGCCAGGTGAGTAAACAGAGGGCGAAGAGGGAGGAGCTTTCAACCCAGGCTTGGAAGACTGGCTGTAAGGAAAGCTTCTCAAGGGAAATGAGCCCCAAGTGAATCTGAAGTATCCTGAGGGGTGGAAAGGATCAAGGTCAGGCAGAGAGTGAGGAGTAAATCTGAGGCAAGACGGACAACACAGACCAAGGTAGGAAGCAGAAATATGTGCGAAGCAGACAGATTATCTGCAATTTCAAAGTGGTGGAATGCCAAGTACAATTCTTTCAATATTAATGGGCCCCCTACTGTGTACCGGGTGCCTCATAGGAGGATCCAGAGGATGCAAGAGTGTAGTAGGGAAGGAGGAGTCTCAGCTGGGATCTCAGGAGATGTCATGAACTTAGGACGTGGAAAAGGAAAACTGTGCTGTCCAAAGTCACTTCAAACCCCAGAAGTGTGGCAGAAACGCACAGTGAAACACCTTCAATGTCCATGCTAAATGTTTAGGTGCAGCCTAGGTGGGCATCAGGATAAGGGAAGGGGTGGGAGGGGTTAACTGAGTCTCTTCTGTCTCCCAGATCTGTCCCCTCTAACTCTTGGGCTGACACAGACCACCTACCAAAACCAAGGCTATGGTTCCTTTCTCTGAGACATTCTCATCTTCCCTGCAGGGGACCCATTCCCACCAAGGCTTAGGTGTCTTCCAGACTCTGTTACAGTGAGTCCCAGGGTGTTCTGACACACATGATCAATTCCATGCAGGCACAATAGAGAGCAAGTTAGGGTCTGAACCTCATTTTCTCTCCTGCCATCTCCTTAAGGAAGAGCATCTAATACCCCTTCAAGGCACTATCACCCATCTAGAGATGGGCATGAAAGACTAGGCAGCATAGGTTAGCGTATATAATGCAGGAGGCAATGGAACATTATGAATGGAACATTGTCACTGGCCACTTTGCTATAGTATTTTCAACTTAAGAGTTTGCATATGAATAAAAGCAATCATAAAATTATTTTACATTATTTTCATGAGCCAGGAAATGCTTTGAATTCATTTTTGATTTTTTTATTTCAATTGCCTTCTCCTCCTATGCCAGCCCCAGCCCAGGAATAGGAGTCAGGGTGAGGTGACATCCAGGCATGAAACTGAGACTAGTGTGAAGGGTTATAGAACCTGACAGATCTGGGAATTCATCATGGATATGCCACTTTGTAGCTGTGTGACTGGGAAAGTCACCTGAGCTCTCTATAAAATGAAGATTGCAGTACCTAATTCCCAAGGATATTGTGAAGAATAAATGCACGATAGCTTAGCATCAAGCTTGGCACATAGCTTGTGATAACTATCATCAACAACTGTGGCAGTTCTTTAAAATAGCCACACATTTTTTTGACCCTCCTCCTATCAAGAGGTGGCGTCTGTATCCTCCCCACTGAACTCTGGGTGGGTTTGTGACTTCTTTCACCAAAAGAGTATGGTGGAAGTGATGCTGTCTGACTTCCATGGCTAGGTCATAAAAGGCCATGCAACTTCTGCCTTGTTCACTAGAACACTGGAGCACTGGTTCCTGGAGAGAGTATGAGGCCACCATGCTGTGGGGAAGCCCAAGCCACAATGAGGAGTCAGATGTAAGTTCTCTGATCCAATATCTGAGCTAAGCCCAGCCATCACTCATATAAGTGAAGGAACCTCCAGATGTTTCCAGCCCCCAGCCTTTAAGAATCTTCCCAGATGAAACTTGGTCATCATACAGCAGAGACAAAACAACCCTGCTGCTGTCCTAATCCATAATCCTGATCCACAGCACCCATAAGCATAATGAAATAGTTGTTGTTTTAGGGCACTAAGCTTGGACTGGTTTATTAAGCAATATTAGATAACTGGAATACCAATCTTCATTATTATCACCATAGATTTTTAATCAAGGTACTATTTGGTAGAGATCTTTATTTGATATATTCTTAAATAAAGTATACACACTGCAATGCAGTGTCAAATCTGAAAATAAGCATTCTTCAGCAAATATCAAGTGTGTTTTTTCAACCAATATTCATATGTTTGCAGAGCCTGCAAACAACTGATGAGCTGGTAAGCATTGGCATGGCAGCTGCCAACACGTTCTTGCAGGAATTTTTGCAATTTATTAGTATAATAATAGATTTCACAGGTATCTGTGGCATATAATTATGACCTATATTACATGTCACCGGCTTATTGCTTGACTTTACTTCTCTATTAACAAAAAAAAACGCTGTGGATTTTACATTAATTGCAATAAGAATTAATGGCTACTTCTAGGCCATTTTATCTGCAAAAGAACATTTTAGGTTTGATTTTGTTTGTTATCCAGGAATGAGACTATTGAGATACATGGAAGACTATCTTCCCTACTGTACTATAAGCTCTCCCTTTTTTTTTTTTTTTTTTTTGAGACGGAGTCTGGCTCTGCCGCCCAGGCTGGAGTGCAATGGTGCGATCTCGGCTCACTGCAACCTCCACCTCCTGGGTTCAAGCGATTCTCCTGCCTCAGCCTCCCGAGTAGCTGGGACTACAGGCGCGTGCCACCATGCCCAGCTAATTTTTGTATTTTTAGTGGAGATGGGGTTTCACCATTTTGGCCAGGACGGTTTCCATCTCTTGACCTCATGATCTGCCCGCCTCAGCCTCCCAAAGTGCTAGGATTACATGCGTGAGTCACCGCGCCCAGCCCGTAAGTTCTCTTAAGGTAGGAATTAAGTATTACCTTCCTTCTCCCTTTCCAGGACCTAATACAGTGTTTCATATATAGTAGGTATAAAAGGGTATGGTAGCCATGAAGATGTGACACTCAGGTCTCCTTTCAAGAAATAACTTGCCATTCAGCTGCAAGGAGTGAAGTCAGTGGACAGCCCTCAGCCGCAGCACCTTTGAGATCTACTTCAGCTTTTAAATCAAAGCCACATCTTTCTTCGGGAGCCCCCAGCCAAACACTGAGCATGGGAGAAGTACCAGAGCCTGGCCGGTTCTGCCCACTGCAGGACTCCTCTAATGGGAAATCTCAGCTCTGGAAGAGGTCCTCATTAAGTTGGTTCAGACTTTGTTGGATCTTCATTGTAATCTGAGGCTCTTTTTACCTATTCCTGTTTTCTCTGCTTTTATCTTTCACAAGCATTACCCCCTAAGACATGTCTTGTATTTCTCACTCCATTTTACCATCTGCTTCCCATAGGACTCAATGGACACAGGGAGGTACTAATCAAATTCAACCTGATTACATAAGACAATATCTATTTGAGAAGATAAAGCTTTGATTGATGCTATAGACTGAAATCTTATGTCCCCCCCTCCAAAATTCCTATGTTGAAACTTAATCCCCAATGTGATGCTATTTGAAAAGAAGGCCTTGAGAAGTGATTAGGTCACGAGGGTGGAGCCCTTATGAATGAGATTAGTGCCCCTCTCAGCAGTGCTCCAGAGACCTTTCTCACCCCTTCTACCATGTAAGGACATAGCTAGCATTTCTCCCACCTGCTTTTCCCAATCCCTCAGGTATGTTTCTAAAGAAGAACATTTACATTGCAGCTTAAAGTGGCTGTCATTCCAGAACTTATAATTCCTCCAAATATTAGCTGTTGTGGAAACTCACGGTGGGCCTTAAACCTCCCTTATTCTACATTTGATCTGACAAATGAAAGGAGATGACACAAATAAACCAGAAGAGAAGAGCCTAGGATCTGGAGGCCTACAGACTTGGGTTCAAACCCTGTTTCCCTACTTACTACCTGTGAAGATTTGGCTGCATAGACTGTTTTCTCTGTCCTCCACTGCCCATCTAGAAAAAGGGGGGTACCCAATATATCATCTTGATTTATTTTTTAGCTCATGATAGACAACATGAACAAGAGGAAGAAGGAAAAAGAGGAAAAGGAGGAGAGGATGAGAAGAATGGCCAATCTGGGGTGCCAATGTGATTCTGAACCAGGCAAGAAACTAGAAATTCAACCTGGAGAACTGGACTTCCATTGAACCAAATGATCCCATGTTCCTCTTGGACTGGCATTTATTTGCTGAATACCTCCATGTTCCTATCTCATGCTAGCCTCTGTTGGTGCAGCTCTGAAAACACTGTAAGAATACCATCCATTCTATGAGGGCTGGGAGGGTGGCTGTATCCATGTCTGCAGCATGAGGTAGGTCTTCAGTAATTATTTGGTGAATGAGTGAATTTGAATGAATGAATGAGAGTGTAAAGCTTTCACTAGCCATGAAACAGCCTTTAGTCCTTTGTCAACAACAGCATAGGAATTAGGGATCTTTGGAAGCCTTGCTTCTTACAAAATCTGCATCTCAGCCACAAAGAAGGAGGCCTGGGAGTTATTAGAGAGGCTCTTGTTTGTTTGTTTTGCAAATGAAAATCAGAACTGAGGAAGCTCACTGCAGCCAGCTGCAGGGTTCTGAGTTAACCCCTTCGGTGTCACAGAGCCGGTGGCTTCTTTTCAGAACTACATTTTGAGGGAGATGAGCCTGAAGTAGTGGGAGGAGAGGGTGCTCTATTGAATGGAGTCCCAGCTCCAGGTTGAAAGTTCTGGAGACCTAGTTGTGCTTCTAGATAGCTCTGGGAGCTTCAGAAAAATCCCTCGATTTCTCTACACATTTGTTTCTCTGCCTAAAAATTATGGATTAAGCCAGTTAGGCTCCAAGCACCTCTGAATCTTACCATCCCAATACCAAAATCAGTTTGTGCCTGGAGTGAAATGTTTCTTGGCTGAGTTGGAGTGGGAGAGGACGCATATGAGCCTGTCTATGGAGTCTGTGCCACATCACAAGAGGCGTTTTTCCCTCTACATCTAATCATGATCCTAATAATGATGATAATAGGAATAACTATTCATTGAATGTGTACTGTGTGCTAGGTGTTCTTTCAAAACTTTATGTGGGTCCTATTTTAACCTTCAGCATGACTCTGTGATGTAGATGCTAATATAATCCCCATTTTACTGATGAGAAAATTGTGGAACAGAAAGGTTCAATGTCTCGCCCAAGACTTTAGGTAAGTGGTGAAGCTTGGATTCAAACCTACGAGATTGGTGCAGAATCCTTTATTCTCTACTCTTTGGGTTCCCAATGTCCTGTTCTCCCAGACTGCCTATGTCTACTCAGAAATGTCTTAAGCTTTCACAGAGAAAGGCAGTGAGAAGAGGCAGTGAGCCGTAGGTATAGTGAGAAGGCATAGATAGCACCCAAACCCTCCAGTCCTAACTATCCCTGGGACTTGGGGGAGTTCTTCTGCCCTCAGGTCTCAGTTTCTCCATCTGTGAGTTGAAGTAGTCACCCATGGGAATATCCAGGAGTGTCCCCAAGCTGATTAGTAAATAAGAGAATCTTACACCAGAACTCAGAGAAGAGCTTCCAAGAGTATATAAAATCCAAGGAGTTGTATGAAAAATGTTGTGTGTGGGCATTTAGCTATGGGGATAGGAGGTTCATGGCTCACATTAGTTTCTGGAAGCGCCTGCGCCAGGGAACTAACAATACAACAGCATCATCAGTGTAGACTCTCAGCAGCTAACACATCAGAGGCAGGTCACTCCTGTGATCATGGTGTCAGGGCTCAACATCTGGTTGTTTAAAATAAAAAAGCCAGATAATTGGCTTCATTTCATTATCTTCCAATGTCTAGAAATTTCCAGAGTAGAAAGCAATAACTTGACACCCTTAGGCTCAAAATCTCTCTCTTTACACACAGTGCCTCTTCTTTCTCCAAGAAGGAAAGTCTCTCTTACACTTAATACCCTTGAGAATAAGCCAGAAATATGCTGTCACCTGCAAGAACTTCCAAGTAGATCCAACAGAGAAGTGTCATGTGGACAAGGTGTGTGAATACAGAGCCTGCAAAAACAACCAGGACTTAGCATGTCCTCAGCCAAATGCTTTGGTGCAAAAACCTTGTGTGTGTGTGTGTGTGTGTGTGTGTGTGTGTGTGTGTGTGTGTGTGCATGCAGTGAGAGAAGACAATAGGCTGCTGTAGTAAATACACCAGATGGAAAGACAGTCAGATATGGGTGGGAATCCCAGCTCCTCTCCTTATCAGCTCAGCCATTTCAGATGAGCTCCTAACCTCTCTGCGCCTCAGTTTCCTCCCCTGTAAAATTCCAGCAACTTCACAGTGCTGTTCTGAGGACTTAATACAATAACTCACGTAGTGAAGAATTCATGTATTGCAGCTGCCCCACAAGCAGAAGTAGCTCAACATATGGGAGTCCAGATGCCTTGGTGACCTTGGACAATTCTTTCTTTTATTTTTTTCCTCCCTCCTGAGCCTTAATTTCTTCATCTGTAAAACAGAAGTGAAATGACAGAGAAGGTTGATGTGTTAAGCTTTCTTTTAGTTATGGAACTTTGGGGGTTTTTCCCACCCCCAAATAAAATCTCATGGGGAAACCCAATGCATATAACCATGAGAAACAGTGGCTCAGGTTCAAGGAGAAACAGCAGACTCCAGCGGACTGAACCTGTCTTAACCCCCCTCGTGCTGGTAAACCTCACAGGTGTTGGGCTGTTGTGGAAAACCAGCATGCCGCTTCAGTATTTCCCAATTTTCCTTAACCTGTGCAGCAAACGCACACTTGCCATGGTTATGTACTACTTCCATTATTTATCTACTTAATATTTTTCTCAACTCAATTGCTTATCAATTGCTCAAATTTAATTTAATCCAAAAGGAAGCTACATGTCATGACATCAGGGGAAGACCAGTATCTATTTTCATAAATAGAAGGTCATGTGAATCAAGTGTATAATAAATACTGGATTTATTTAACCTGCTGAAGGTTGACTTCCAGGGATGTCATCTCTTTTTCTTAAAAAGGAGGAGTCACAAGGGGGTAAGAAAGTGTTCAAGGACCCTAGCACCCAGCTAAGGCTTTTTCCTTGTAATAGGCAGGATGGAAAGAGAAGAGAAAGAACTCAGCACCAAGCGTTTCTCCAGCTGTGTTGCTCCAGGTTGCTTTTAATTGACTTCCACATGTGGCATTGTTGAGAAGCACTCTATGATCACTGTAGTAGGTTTAATGGTGTCTCCCAAATACCTAAGCCCAAGTCCTAACATCCCCCACCACGTAACTGTGAATGTGGCTTTATTTGGAAATAGGGTCTTTGCAGATGTAAGAATCTTAGGATGAGATCATCCTTAATTTAGGGTGGACCCTAAGCCCAAGGACAAGTGTCCCTATCAGAGAAAGGAGAGGGAGATTTGATACATATCGAGAAAGCCATGTGAACATGGGAACAGAGATTGGAGTGATGCAGGCATGAGCCAAGAATGCCTGGGGCCATCAGAAGCTGGAAGAAGCAAGGAAGGATTCCTCCCTGGAGCCTTCGGAGGGAGTGTGGCTTTGATGACACCTTGATTCTAGACTTCTGGCCTCTAGGACTGTGGAAGAATACATTTCTCTCATTTTAAGCCACCTGTTGGTGGTCATTTGTTGGGGGCAGCTCTAGGAGATGAATGCAATCACTAAACCTGTTTCCAATGTAGCATTCATCAGCCTAATCCCGTATTTTTTCCTCTACGTCCTCTTTTACCAGAGGTCAGGAGTTGCCCTTTCAGAAGAAGTTCCCCCTTCCCATAAGAGATCTCCCTTCCCCTTGCAAAGAATTGTCATTGGTTTATCCTAAGAAGCAGGGAAGGTAAAGACATTGAATAGGCCTGGCCAGAAGATGCTTCTATGTTCTCAGAACTCACTGTCTTGAAAATCTATCGTCTCCCATCCTCCCTCCCTTTACTCCCAGTCCTACCTGAAAGATCCATAGAGAGAGGAAGGATGAGTCTTCGTCTTGGTGAACCAAAGTGTAACTTTGGGTGGCTACTTAAGAAAAAAAAAGAACCCTCATGAATAAACCATGTCTTGCAATTTTTTTAAGCCATAATTCCAGAGCGAATCAATGGTTGGAACCTCCCAGCTTAATGCGAGCCAGATTCCTGCCTCTTCACCCTGTTTCCCTCTCTCCAGCTCTCCCTCTCTTTTCCTTGTACCAAAAGCTGTCTGCTAAACTTCTAAAACACCCTTTGCCTTTTTGACCCTTCAACTTGTCTTGAACTTCAGAAAAAAATTGGGGAAATGGCACTGAGTGAACTATATATAAGTCCTGGGCGTGTAGGGAGGAGGTGGGGGGAGAGGGGGCCATGCGGGGGAGAGGGCTCACCATGAACTTGGGGCCTCGGATATTCGCTTGGGAAAAAAAAATTCCAACTCTCTTCTGTTAATGGAATTAGTAAATATTTGTTGCTCTGTTCTAGGCCGGTGCCCCAGGGGGATATCTGGAGGAAGGAAAAAAAAGAAGGCAAATAAAAATAAAAGACAAGCTACTTTTCTGCTCCTTTCCCCTCTCCAAAGACACTAAACAGACAAGTTGGAGGATTAGAATGAGGCCTTGTGTGGCTGCTGCGAGCAGGAAGTTGCAAGGGGGCTTTGCAGCGGGGAGGGGGCCATGGCGGGGAAGAAGCAGGCCTGCTATCTGGTAATGGGAACGCCATTCCTGCCTAATGAAATGATTGCTGGCGGAGTTCCTGAGTTACAGCGCAGCCCGCACAGCCCCTGGCTGGCTTCCTGGAGCCCAGAGACCCTGGGCTGGGGCCGGGCCTGATGTGCAAAGAGCGTGCAAAGAGGCAGGGAGAGAATAAGAAAGTGACAGAGAGGGAGGTGGTGACAGGGATGAGAGACAGAGAAGCGGAGCAGGGGAATCAGAGATCAATGGCTAGATGGAGAGAAAATGATAGAAACAGTGGCACATGCGCAGCCAGCGACATACAGAGAAAACAACGGATGGGGGCAGACAGAGGAAGAGACTCGACAAAGAGCCTCTGTCAGGCCCAGGGAGATGGATGGGAGAGAATCAGAGTGGAGGACCGAGCTAGGCTGAGGCTGAGAGATGGATGGACAGGAAGAGACCTGGACACGGAGGGAGAGAGAAGCGGAGATGAGAAAAACAAAGACGTGGAGGGACAGAGAGAAAGACGGGGCGAGGCAGAAACCCTGACTGTCAGAAGCAAGTGAAGAAGAGGAAGGAGCCAGGCAGTGGAAGAGACAGACATGGAGACAGGGTCAGAGACAGAGGAACAGGAGGGAATGAAGATTCAGAGAAAAGAGACAGGAGGTCCAGAGAGCAAGGCAGTAACTTCCTGCACGTGGAGAGTTCAGTGCAAATGGATCTTTGTAAGACTTCATCGCCTTGACAGGAAGTGAGGTCCTAATAGACATCGATTATAAAATAAAAAGCGTGTTCAAATAGGACAAAATAAGGAAGGGGCAGGAAAGGAGAATAAAAGTCCTTCCCTATTGTCCTGCTGCAATCATTCTCTGACTTCTTCAACTTTTAGCAGATTTTACAATAAATGCGTGGATGGCCTGGAACATTTTCACCTCATGTACATTGTTTCTGGCCATCCAAGTAGCCTCCAAAGAAGATGTTATGACTTCTACTCTTTTTTAGTTGAAGAATCTGAGAATCAGGGAGGTGACATTACTTACAACATAATACAGAGAGGAAGGGGCTGGAGTTGGGGCTCTAGTGTGGGTAGACAAAAAGAATATAAATGCTAGAAAGGGGGAAAGTTTGGAGGTTAAGTGTTCTGAGGACCTCATTTTGCTCAGGAAGGGCTATATGGATTATTACATTGATTACAGTGATTAACCATAAGCATGGTAAGAATCAAATGTGCCTATTTAGAAAATAGAAATAGAACCAATAACTTCTGAAGAAGGAGAGAAGAAAAGGTGGGTGGGAAGGAAAAGGTAAAAAAAAATTCTCTCCACCTAATACAAAAGAGAAAAGGAGGAAGAAAAAAGCAAAGACAAAAAGAAAAAAGATGAAAATGTGATTAAGTAGAAATTGCTAATGAAAATGCAAAATGGCACAGCCATTTTGGAAGACAGTTTGGCAGTTTATTACAAAACTAAACATACTCTTACCATATGATTCAGCGACCACACTCCTTGGTATTTACCTAAAGGAGTTGAAATCTTATATGCACACAAAAACCTGCACACAGATGTTTACAGCAGCTTTATTCATAAATGCCGAAAGTTGAAAGCAACCAAGATGTTCCTCAGTAGGTGAATGAATAAACAAAGCATCGTACATCCAGACAATGGAATACAGGGTTATTCAGCACTGCAAGGAAATGAGCTATCAAGCCTTGAAAAGACATGGAGGAAATTCAAATGCATATTATTAAGTGAAAGAAGCCAATTGAAAAGGCTCACACTATATGGTTCCAACTACATGACATTCTCAAAAAGGCAAAACTATGGCAACAGTAAAAAGATCAGTGGTTGTAAAGAATTAAAGGGGAGGGAGGAATGAAGAGGCAGAGCACAGAGGATTTTTAGGGCAATGAAACTATTCTGTGTTATACTGTAATGGTGGGTACATGTCATTATACATTTATTGAAACCTACAGTGAACTCTGATGTTCACTCTTGGTGTTGTACATTCTGTAGGTTTTGGAGTTGGAAGATAATGACGTGTCAATGTGGGTTCACCAGTGGCAGCAAAGGTAGCACTCTGGCGGTGGGAGGGGGTGTTGATGATGGAGGAGGCTGCGCACGTCGGGGCAGAGGGTGTATGGGATATTTCTCTGCCTTTTCCTCAATTTTCCTGGGAACCTAAAACTGCTTTAAAAATAAATACAGTCTTAAAAAATAAATGTAAGTTGAAACCTCATAATCAGAAGGTAGAAATAAATCCACACTAGTCTGGAATCACATTAATCATAATGGGATTAAACTCTTCAGTTAAAAGACAGAGAATTGGGAATGATTTTTTTTTAAATCAACCATGTGCTTTTCCTGAGGCATACATAAATTAATAGAAAGTTGAAAATTAAAGATTAAAAATTCTAAATAAATACGAATCAAAAGGAAGCTGGTTTTGTAATATGAATATCAGACAAAATAAAGTTTGTGGTAACCCAGCTTTCTGTGACATCAAACTATGGGCTCTCACTCTTGGCACACAGGGCCAGGCCTCTATGATCAGACATCCAGGGCATTGCAGGTGGGGTTGTGAACTCAGATTTCACAACCAGTTTTTCATGAGGCACCCATTAGGCAACCACTCTCTCTTACCCCTTGCCTTTTGGTTTCTCACCCTGCGCTATGAGACCTATTTTCTGGTAATGATGCATCACCGGAGAGGGAATACAAGTAAACCACCTTGTGAAATAGTGAGTCACAGAGGCAACAGAAAGAATCAGACACTAGGGAGAGAAATGGGGGAGAACGGGTTTGAGGGGTGCGGACCAGCTTCCCCCTAGAAGGCTGCTTTTCATTGCAGTGAAACACACCACGCTTTCTTATGTCTTCTCCTCCCATGATGTCATCTTATTTACTCAATCTGGAAATGTCCAGGTTACCACTGAGTATGGGTAGCAGTTTTCTGTTTCCTGTTTGTATTAAGAAGGCAAGAGCTGAGTTTCTTGGAAAACCTAAGTATGTGTGGGTTCTTATGATGGATTTAACCAAGAACCAAGTACTTGCCAAATATCAACCTTTTGCCCCTTGTACTCCTCATTGTGCTGAGGCAGAATAGAGCATTGAGAAGAGGATAGGATGGTGGGAGCAGAGGGAGAAGGCCATAAAATAGATAGCCGTCAATTGCTAATGCCTTTGGCCATGACTGCATCCCAGTAACACTACACAGCTTACAGTTTCTCAATGACTCGCTCTTCTGTGGCTTTGCACACGCGTCTCCCACTCCCTGAAATGTTTTCCTCGCCCCATGTCCCCCACTCCCTTTAGCTCTTTCTATTAACCGTTTTTCATGCCAGAAAGCCTTCCTATCCTGAGTATGAATTAAAAGCCCCTTCTCTCAGTGCTCTGTACTTATTTATGTTAAAATACTTATCACTCAACATTGTAATGACCCATGAACTTGTCTCTCCCTCTCCACTCCCTTTTCCCCAAAAGTTACAAAAATCTAAAAGGAAGAAAGAACATCTCTTCTTCCTTTTATCCCTCTGCTCTTCATCAGGCTAGGTACTCAGTTCGATAAGAGCCTGACATGTGAGGGGGATGAATGGTGGAAAGTCTCCAATCAAGGACCTTTGCTACCTTGAACTGCAGCATCAAGAACTACACCTTAACCCATCCACAGAGACTCTGAGCTTTCCACAAATTTGATTTTCAGAAACATGAAACAACAAAGTTAGAAAGCACCTTAAGAGAAGCTCTTTTCCCTCCGGTTTGTAAATGAATTCTAAATACCTTCACTTTACATCAACAGGGCAATCTCACTTGGTTCTTGTTTATATCTTACACTTTCTGATCAGCTTCATTTGAAGAAATGGCCCATGATTTTTTAAAAATAAAATTGTTAAGCCACCATCCATCTGCTCAAACCCTCATTTTACAGAATGGATCCCCAAGGCCCAGAGAGAAGGAAGGAACAAGTTCAGTGTTGCATCTTGCAGCTATATCTCATACCTGCATTTACCAGGTGTAAAATCTTGATCAACTGACTTAACCTCTTTATACCCCTTTATTTATCTGTAAAACGGGGGAAGAGTGAACCTATCTCATAAGGGGTTGTTGAGAGTTTCAATCAGGTAAGTTAAGCCATGTCAAGAATGTAGACATTCAGTGAATGTTACTGATGATGATGATGGTGGTGGTGGTGATGGTGACGGGTGTTGTTGTTATGCACTATTATTCTCTCTCCATCCAGTACTCTTTCTACTCTACACAGCTAGCTCTGAAACTTAATGTAACACGCCAGTGACCCAGCCAGAGTTTGAGGAAATGAAACACAAACCACCCAGCAGCCTCGTTCTTCAGCTGCAGTTACTCCATTAACAGCAGAACAATCTCATTCTGGATCTTCTCCATCTCCTGGCAGCCAAGCCTCAGACAAGGGGCTCTTAAAATACCAAATTTCTCTAGAAGGAAAGATGAGGAGGAAGTTCTCACCATCCAGTATTGAGGAACTGAACTCCCTTTTCTCAGCTTGGTTTTTCCTCCCTGCCTAGTGTCTTTCTCCTGAGCCTGACTTGTGGAGGCTCTCATTCTGTAATGAGGGGCTTGACTTGTGGAAGCTCTCATTCTGTAATGAGGGGCTGCTGTGTGGCATGAGAAGCCTCCAGTTTCCCTGCCCACCTGGAGAAAAAGGCGAGGCTGGGTTGGTTGCAAAGAGCCTGAAAAGTGCCTTGGTTCAAGGACTTATTCTCCCCAGCTTCTAGGGGTGTTGCCAGGTGAATGCTTTTAGCTCCCAGCCCTCTGTAGGTATTGCCCTCAGCTGAAAAGATCCCCCCTCACTCAATATCACATCTTCCTCCAAGGACAGCCCACATCCAAAGATTGGTGTGGCAAGAGAATTAAGGCATATCACCCTGTCCCCAGCTGAAGGGTCATCCCATTTTCAGAACCCCCGTGGGGTCAGTTGAACCTTTGCTGAGACTACATCACAGCTGAACTTTTCTTTCCACCCAATCCTCATTCTTTTCCTTCCCTTCTAGCTCCAATATATGCCCAGCATATTAATCCTCACCCAAGAACCTGGCTCCTAGAGAGTCTGCAACTGCCAAGACAGACAAAGTGAAAGGGGCCAATGTGAGCCCCTTGTCTGAAGCTTGGCTGCTCAGAGATGGAGAAAATCCAGAATGAGATAGTTTTGCTGTTAATGGGGTAATTGTAGTTGAAGAACAAGGCTGCTGGGTGGTTTGTGTCTCATTTCCTCAAAGTCTGGTTTAAGAGGTGTCATTTGGCCAGGTTAGCGGGACCCAGGCTTGAAACCCATTTTTCTGCCCAAGACTTAGGCCCTCTACCAGAACAACAGGCCCACCTAGACCACCTGGGTCCAGGTCTACCAAGGTAGTATCCACATCACAGCAGCACGTGGGGTGATTGCAGGTGGTAACATACAGGCATTTTTAAAATTCGTTTTCAGGCGCATCCAAAAAAAATCTACCACTAGAATGTTTAAATCCCCAAGGTAATAAATTTTTTATCTTTGGACAAGTCTACAAATGTAAGACGATGAACAAACTGAGTGTGTAACAGATTTGGTGGTTTGCTGATAAGAAGAATCTGGAAATGCCAGGAAAACACTGCTCTCATTTTGCAGATGGAGAAATAGGAGTACAGGGTCGGGAAGACATGACCCAAGTCTGGCAAGTTAGAGGCAAAACTGGGGCTAACAACCAGCTCTACGAACTGCGGTTTGGGTTTGGTCTCTCCCTGCCCTGACCTCTGTGTGACAAATCTTACTGACTGAGGAACCAGGCATCCTAGGAGGCATTGGATAGCCATGGCAGTACCTGAGATGCAGGAATTACTGTCCGAAAAGTACAAGCCTTAGCTCAGTGGTATCTGCCATCCACAGACTAATCTTCCCATAGATCCAGTGTTTGGCCCAGGTCTCCTTGACCTAACTCCCCAAGCCCATGCAAGAAAAGTCAGTAGGTTCACGCCTGTAATCCCAGCACTTTGGGAGGCTGAGGCGGGCAGATCATCTGAGGTCAGGAGTTCAAGACCAGCCTGGCCAACATGACAAAACCCCATCTGTACTAAAAATACACAGATTAGCCGGGTATGGTGGTGCTCATCTGCAGTCCCAGCTATTCAGGAGGCAGGAGAATCGCTTGAAGGTTGAAGTGAGCCGAGACCGTGCCACTGCACTCCAGCCTGGGTGACAGAGAGAGACACTCTCTCAAAAACAAACAAACAAAAAAAACAAAAAAACCACAACAACAACAAAAAATGAAACAAAAAAACACCACCTGGGTTCTGGGTTCAAATCCATATTTCACCACTTCACTAGCTGAGTGACTTGAGCAAGTCACATTTATTCTGAACCTCTTTTTTTTTTCTCATCTAAAATGGACATAAATGCCTACTTCATCAGGTTTTTGGTGAGATTTCAATGAAATAAAATATAAAACTCCCATAGCACAAAGTCTGGTACATTGTTGGCACTCAGTAATTGTGAGCTGTTAAAGATAGATGTGTATGAGGGATTTTCTTTTCCTGAGGGAGAATGTTTCAGTTAGCTATTGCTGTGTAACAGACCAACTCAAAACTTCACGGTTCAAAACAAAAATGATTTATCATTTTCCACAATCCTGTGGGTCAAGAATCCAGGCTAGGCATAGCTGGGTGGTTCTTTGGCCCCAGTTTAGGGGCATTGTTTGGGTTCACTTACTGCATTTAGCTGTTTGCTGGGCTGAGCTGGAAGGTCCACGTGGGCTTCCTCAGATGCAGGGAAGCTCAGTGTTTCTCCATGTGGTCTTTTGTCCTCCGTGGGATGTTTCATTATTCAGTAGTAATGTGAGCTTCTTTACAACCTGATGGCAGGCTTCCAAAGTGAAGGTTGCTATCACCACGCCTGTTAGAGCCTAGGCCAAGAACTGGCATAGCATCACTTCTGCTATAGCCTATTGGTCAAGGAAGTCACAAGCCCAGCTAGATTCAGAGTGAGGAGAAATAGATTCTACCTATCTTTGAGTGAAGCAGTAAATGTGATCCAGAGCTTTCCGGATTATCCAAGTGGTCCAAGCCACTGCCTCATGCACCCAGACTCCTTTTATACCATGCTCCCCCCCTCTCCCAGAGTCCTGTGAATTATATTGTCATGGCATACATCCTCCAAACTCTACTTGTTCTTAGCTACTGTCTTTCCCTCCCTTATCTTTGCCTGGCTAACTTGTCCTCATCATCCTTTGGTCCTAATCCAACCGTCACTGCCTCCAGGAAGCCTTATATTATCCCCCAGATTGGTGTGATACCCGTTATTTACTTCTCTAGCATCCTCTACCTTCTCTTCTTACTACTCATCACCCCTGTAAATAATTATAAATTCAGTGTCTGTTGCATTCTAAATATGGTCCCATGAGAGCAGGTCCCATGAGCTTTGTTCATCACCTCATCTACAGCTCCTGGTTCAGTGCCTGGTACCTAGTAAGCACTCAGGAACTGGCCATGGATGTCTTGAGCAGAAGTCTTGATGTTTGTACTCCAGACTCACATTGGCCCCTTTCACCTTGTCTGACCTTGAGGTTGCAGATTCTCTAGGAAACATTCTGGGGTAAAGATTAATGTGCAGGACATATATTCGAGCTAGAAGGGAGGGGAAAAAAATCAGGATTGGGTGGAAGGAGAAGTTGAGCTGTGATGCAGTCTCAGCAAAGGCCTCAACCGACCCCATGGGGGTTCTGAAAATGGGATGACCCTTCAGCTGGGGACAGGGTGATATGCCTTAATTCTCTTGCCACACCAATCTTTGGATGTGGGCTGACCTTGGAGGAAGATGGAATATTGAGTGAGAGGGATCTTTCCAGCTGAGGTCAATACCTACAGAGGGCTGGGAGCTAAAAGCATTCAGCTGGCAACACCCCTAGAAGCTGGGGAGAATAAGTCCTTCAGTCCTGAAATGGATCTGGGTAGCACATCATGCAATTATGACACTTAATGTTAACCTTTCAGTGCCATCTTTTTCAAGTCGATCAAATGGAGACTTTAAAAAGTCTCAAACCCCAAAGAAGGATCTCCAGTAAATCATGGATCTGGAAGTATTTGGAAAAGGAGGATGAGAAGAAGGAAGAACTCTGCCAATACCGTGAGTTGTCAAGAAAAGGGAGACTCTCTGGTTCCTGACCAAAGTTTGTCAATAGTAAAATGTATTTGACTCAAACACATCCACAGACTATTCCAATAGAAAGGCCTCAGGTAAGTTCTCAATACCACTAGCACCCAGTTCATCCCCTTGGAGAAAGACTCGGGTGATGCCCTAGCCAACCTTGAAGCCATCTTCTGTGGACCTTAAGAACATTCTCTTGTCTGCAGTGATTTCCTAAGGAGAAATTCCAACACGGAATTCTTTGACCACTGCATCCATGTTTACATGAACAGGCACTGTCTGGCCAGGGAGTGGTGACTTCTGCTCCAAACAAGAACACAAGGTCCTAGGGACGTGAGAAAAAGAATTCAAGTTGTGCAGAGGTTTACGTTAATGGAAAAGCCCCACTGTGTGGCCTCAGCAGTTCCTCCAGGTTCTTCACTGTCTGGAAAACCACAGCAGAGGAACTCAGACATATGATCTCAGACCTGCAAATTTTTGCCACCACTTCTGCTCCCAAGTAGAGGATATAACCAGGAAACTTTCTTTTATTTGCATATGTGTGTGGCATGCATCAGATCCTTTAAGGAGCCAAGACACAGGAGTGACATCATTCCCAGTAACCAAAATGCCAGTAACTGTTGGCATGGATGCAAGGACTACTCCCTGGGTTGTCTATCCTGGCAGCAGGAAGAGCAAACAATTCAGATTATAGGGCAGAGCCCGGGCAGCAGAGGCCAGTAATAGGAGGGAGAAAGAACCTCAGATGGCCTGAGAAGACAGCAGAATTCCCAAGCTAAGACTCTCATATATATTAGATTTTATCGATCACTTACTACGTATTAGGCACTGGGCAAGGCACTTTAAGTATTTCACCTTGTTTGCTCCTCAAGGTCATCTTGTTCCCATTTTACTGATAAGAGAGCTAAGGCCCAGAGAGGGGAAGTGACTTCCCCAGTGGGGAATTTGCGTCCAAATTTCCAAAGCATAGGCTCTTAAACATTGGTTGCATTGTGTAGCCTGGCCAATTTGCTTAAACTGAAGGAGTGTTAAAATGAATTCAGCCAAATCTTACATCTAAGTGAGTGGCTGGGTTAAATAATCATAAAATTATGCCGTGGACAATGCAATGCAGTTCTAGATGTTTCCTGCTCTTTCTGCACTTCCTTTCTTCTATCTCTTGCTGTGTCCCTCTGTTTCTTTCTCCCTTCTTTCTCTCTCCATTTATTGAGCTCTGATATTATGTCAAACACTGCACATATACAGAAACGTGTACCATTAGTTCTGTCCTCTGTGTGTCTTCTAGGAGATTCAATCTCCTGGGGAAACCAGAAACGAAAGCAAATTATTTCAATGCAGTGGGATATGGGATGGTGCAGAAATTCAAAGAGCGGCCCCCAGGAACACAGAGAGATGACTTAGATGCCTGGAAAGGCTTTAATAAGGAGACGCCATTTGAACTTAGACTTGTTGGGTAAACAGGGAGCCCCCTGGGCAAAGAAGAGGGAGAAAGATAAAGCTGGAGGAAGTCACCTAGTGCAAGGCTATGGAGAAGGAATGAGTTTGGCAGGCTGGGGAGACCCTGGGATTGGGTGGAGGCCCAGGAGGAGAGTGGAGGATAGCCAGGCTCCAGAGAAAACTCATATGGTTTATGACGGGCCTTAAATGCCATGCTAAAGTGGCCAGACTTGACCACACAGGCACTGGGGAGCCCCACCAGATATTTAAGTGGGGTGAAGACAAGATGGGTTTTGTATTTTAGAAAGATCATGAGGCAGGTGTGTGCAAGATGGACAGAGGATAGAAAAGAGTGCTGGAGAAACTGAAGATGGGAATCAATCGGAGATTGCTCAAATATCGCAGCCGAATGGATGAGGGTCTTCTGGTCACCACTTCTTCTGGGGTGTCTGATTTCCCTGACAAACTCTTTATCCCACTGCCTCAGGGATGCCACGTTTTACCCTCTGCAAGCATCTTTCTCTGTATGGGACGATACAGAGAGGGCAATGCCTATCTGAAAAAGAGCAATCAAATGGTGGACTTTCAGGCTGACCAGACTATAAAGAGATATTCCAAAGGTCTTTTCACACTTCCAGAGCGCACCACTTATTCTAACTTGACTATTGCCAGGCTGATGTCTTTATATTTCATTTTATTTCCATAAAGCCTTCACCTGGATACAACAGACTTTGGGCTGAGATTGGGGCCTGCCTCTAATCCTGCTGAACAGGCCCATGGCTGTTTTTCCCCCAACATCCTAGAGCAGAGAAGAAAGGGTCTGGCAATGGCTACTCTCTCCCAGCCTGAAATAAAAGACAATTTGGCTGGTGTTTGGAGCTCTCAATTTCTCCAGCCACCCTCTCCAGCAATGCCCCAGTCTCCATTAATACTATTACTTCAGATGACATTTCCTCTGACTGTCGTCGTCTCTTTTTTTTCCTCCTCCTTAATTCCCTAATTTGTCCTAATATGCCCATTGCCTGTGTATCAAGTCATCCGTGAAGCCGCCCCATTTCCAGGTTTCTTCCTCCCCATCAGCCGAGTCTCTGTCTCCCACAGAAATTAGAGGGAGGCGGCTGCAAGCCCGCAAGGGCAGGAAATAGAATTAGGGGACGTATTAATTGGGACATCAAGTCGGATTTCATTCCAGGCACTTCCTTCCGTTAACCACTTTGAAGCTTCCCCTCTGTGGCTCTGTTTCTCATTAGAGGGAGCTCTTAATGGTGAGTGGTGTTTACGCATGGTGCAAACATGTCATGCCCTAGCCTTCGGACTGGCAGACCCAGCTGATTGGTGAGGGCAAGGGGAGGAAAAGGCCAGCCAATGGGGTCAGGGTGGCAAAGGTGGAGGTGGTGCTTGAGAAAGGACATCGGGGAGAAAAGAAACCACAGAGGTGTGTGTTTTAGGCGGATGAGAGGGATTCCACGAGGGTCCCATTATGTTAAACTTCCCCTTCCCTGCAGTTTCCAGGCTCTGCAAATGTATTCATAAAACAAGCTCCTTTCTTCTTCTTCTTGTTATAATTGTGCTTTTCCCAGCCAGTCATGAGGTTTCTGGCTGCTGGGTTTCACAGATGCCTTGGCCAACACCTTGCAAACTGGCTGAAGTGCCCTGTCTGACACGGAGAAAGGTGCCAGGACACCTTGTCCCTCCTAACTCTCAGTTTTGTCAGCATTTCCATTTAGGGACACCCACTGCCCTCCTTGGCTCTCTACCTGACCCACCCGCCCCATCCACCCCACGTCTTTGAGGTCCTGTCTTGCAAAGGCTTGCACCTTTGTGGGATCCCCACTCAGAGGCGTCTGTGCCAACACTAATTCACGGCTGTGAGAAGAACCCATTTGCGGAAGAGTATTGGTTTTTCCACCAAGGCAGCCAAAACCACCAGCCTCCCTTGCTGGGGAAGAGAAGAGAGAGGAAGAGAAGAAGCATTTGTTTCCCATGATCTGTAGTGGTAGCCCCACAAAACAAACACTTCCGGGAGACTCTAATCAGGTTTTACTGAAGCTCAACTGTGGGTGTGTTTTGTCCTAATCCCCGAGACAAGGAACCCCAGAAAGGAAACTCCTGTTGCTCTGAGGTGGAGGTCAGGCCCTTCTGCCGCCCCTTCAGCTCTGACAGCCAATGCAAACACCACAGCCCTGCCCTGGACACCCTTCAGTCCTCTTGAGCAACCAGAAGCCAAGAAAAAGCAACAGAAGTCCATGCGAAAAGTGGAGAAGAAAAACCTCAGCCTTGAGTGGCAACCAAATCAAATAGCAGCGCCTCATCAGCCAGTTCACAGACTTGAGGGCAAAGGGGTTTCATTTTTTCTTTCTCCTCCCCCCTTCGGCTTTCTTCTCCTCCTTCTTCTTTTTTTATACTTAAAAAGAAAAAAAAATACTCATTACAACCTAGGACCTTAAGAAGTAGGAAGGGAACTGGAAGTATTAGCAAGGCTGCTTGAGAGTTCCAGTCTTTGCCTTTGAATGGACAAAGACCATGAAGGCTACAATGTCTCATCTCTGGGCACATATGTTAAGAGTGTTTGGGGGGTCAGGTGCAGTGGTTCACGCCTATAATACCAGCACTTTGGGAGGCTGAGATGGAACACTTGAGACCGGGAGTTAAGAGACCAGCCCGGCCAACATGGTAAACCCCGTCTCTGCTAAAACTACAACAATTAGCTGGGTGTGGTGGCACATGCCTGTAAACTCACCTACTTGGGTGGTTGAGGCAGGAGAATCACTTGAACCTGGGAGGCAGAGGTTGCAGTGAGCTGAGAACGTGCCACTGCACTCCAGCCTGGGCAACAGAGTGAGACCCTGACTCAAAAAAAAAAGAGTGTTTGTAATGACATAAATCAATGTATGCTAACTTCAGGGAAAATGTTGAAGAAATTATAAAGATTTGGGGTTATATCTGGGAACTAGAAGAATCTCAGGTATCTAGACATTTCTCTATCTCCCTTTCTCTCCCTCTCCCCCCACCCTTTTTTTTTTTTTTTTTTTTTTTTGAGACGGAATCTCACTCTGTCACCTAGTCTGGAGTGCAGTGGCGCGATCTTGGCTCACTGCAACCTCCGCCTCCCAGGTTTAAGCGGGCATGCACCACCACACCTCACTAATTTTTGTATTTTTAGTAGAGACCAGGTTTTACCATGTTTACCAGGCTGGTCTTGAACTCCTGATCTGAGGTGATTCACCCACCTCAGCCTCCCAAAGTGCTGGGATTACAGACATTAGCAACAGGGTGCGGCCCATTTCTCTTTCCTGATTCAATCTTTCTCTCTCTCTCTCTCTTTCTCTCTCCCTCTCTCCCTCCCTCCCTCCCTCTCTCTTTCTCTCTCCCTCTTTTCTATTATTTTATTCTTCTTCCTCATGGCAGATTATCTTTTCCTTCTTCCTTATCTCATTGGCAAGCGAAAGATGGCTTCCTGTAGTAGTCACATGAGCATATTACTGTCCCTGCAACACAGAATCTTCATCTAAGCTTCAGTTCTGTCTTCTTGGGGAAGATATTTTTTATTTGTCCCCTGGGGCTAGATGCCATTTCTGGTCAAACAATTGTGGCCGGAAGAAATGAGTCACCTTGGACAAAGGCAGGTGCAGAGAAACCTCCCCTGCGAATTGTGGGAAGAAAAGCAAGGGCACCATTATCTGCTGACAGACACCCTGCAATTCTCTAGCACATTCCAGTCGCAGTGACTTCATGTTTCTTTCATCCTGGGAACTACTTTCATTCATTTATTTTATCTGTTAACTTCTTTATTCATCAAATATTTGTTGAATATCTGTCACCCTTTGGTCTTATTTATCTTTTTCCATTTACATAATGACTATTCATTTAATAAATATGCCTATCATGTGCCTGAGGTTATTATAATATACAAGATATGCTAGTAAGTAACCAGTTATATGTAACTTTCTTCTAGCAAAGCAATTCTAATCATTGCATCAAAAAAGAAATTTACTTTTATGAGCAGTTCTCAAACTACAAAGCAACTTTTGTACGCTCTCAATCCAAAATGACTTGGCCAGGGAAGAAGAAACACTTTTTCTGTTTAATCTGCCTCCTTACAAAACCCAACTGGAAGATTTCTGTGCTGTAAACTGACAGGGTCAGCAGGGTGGTGAGGGGAAGAGTCCGTCCTACTCTGGAGTTGAAGAATGTTAGATCAAGTCTATTCATCAGGCTAATGACAAAACCATTAGCCAACAAGAAGACAGACACATCTCTGCCAGACACATGAGACTTGCAGCAACTAATAAGCAGAATCCCCACGGAAATGAATTAGGGGTCAAAGTAGAATCATTTCATAGCCTGTTCTTGTGGGAGCGAAAAATGGGTGTGATGTGCTTGTCTCCTGGTTTTTTTAAATATTTCAAGGAACTGACCTGTAAAATGCCACTGGAATGACATATCTAGCAGATGTTCCTCAAACATGAATTATCTAGAACCCTGATGTATTTCTACCCTGACAGACCTGCCAATGCAGAAAGACAGATTGACACTTTTTTCTTCTGCAAACAAGAGGAGTGAAAAGACAGATCTTCCAGAATATTATGACTACCCTGGGGTCCCCAGGCGGCAATTCATCCAGCAAATGTTTGTGGGGCACCTACTGCATGCCAGGCACCTTTCGAGGCACATGCTGCTAGAACCAAGGAACTACAGAATTAGGACTTGGCCATTTATGTTTGGTTGCAGAGTCCATAAGTCCTCCCTACAATAAAACATCCAGAGGAAACTGACAGAGGAGCAAAATTCATCCCAAAACTGTGCACATTAAAGGGGGAAAAGAATTCCACAGAACGATGAGATTTTCAGCTGAGCTGTAGGAAAACAGACTTCCTCTCTTCCTCTCTAAAGAGCCTATTTTTTTTCCATAAACCTAAAGCCATGGCAAAGGGACAGCAAGACTCAGCCAGGATGGCAGCAGACTCATTGGTTGCTGCCCCTTTGAGGAACTTTTCTACTTTAACTCTTCCCTGCCTCTGCCGTTCAGCATCAAAATGTTATTCTCTTTTTCAGGACTCCCTAGACAAACAAGAGAGGCGTTGTGAGCTCCCCCAACTCTGGAGACCTTGAAGTAGGAGGAAACAAGCACCAGCAGGGCAAGGAAAAGGAAGAATAATAGCAGTCACTGTGGCTACCTGCATATCCATTGAAAACCCTAGTCATGGTTGTGATTTTTTGCTTAATATCCAACTTTACTCAGTGCAAGGTCGAAGACAGCAGAAACTATATTTGGCTCGTTCACTGGATGTGTTCTCAGAGCTCAGCCCAGCCACTGCCACACAGTAGATGGTCCATAACTGTTGGTGCAATAAATGGATCTATCTACATTTGCCTGATTTAATTCTCCCAGCAAGATTGGATATTAATGTCCTCACTTTCCTAGTGACAAAACAAATTGACTGCTCTCATCTGGTAGGTATTAATATCCTCATCTTATAGGGCAGGAGAGCAAGGCTCAGAGAAGTGAAATAACTTGCAGGGGACAGATGACTAAAAAGGAAAATGCAAGAGTTTGTTTATGAGCACTGCTCTATTTTTAGTGCCTAGGACAGTGCCTGCCACATAGAAAGAGCTTGCCAAATAATGTTGAATACATTGAATAAATATAAGTACAGAGCTGGGACTCTAGCCATGGGTTGTTCCACTACCCCACACAGCCTTTTCTTGGGTGGCATTTCTCTGCTAATACCCCCTTCTACTTGTCCTCTGCCACGACCTACACAGAATACAAAGGTCTTTACACTCACTGAAGCAGATGAATCAGCTAAATATTCAAACTTTGGAAACAGATAGACATGAATTCAAGTCTCTACCATTGGGTGACTTGGGCACGCTCACATAACTTCTCAGAATCTGAATCTCGACATGTGATGCTTCCAAGAGGGAGCCTAACTATGACTGGCCAACTAGCCCAACTAGCCCAACTAAAGCCTGCAGCTCTAGGTACTCCTTATGTTCCAATAAAAAGAGAGGTTTGTGGTGCTAGCAGGCTGGGATTGGTGACCCTCTCTATCAAAGGAAAGCAGAAATTCTGATTTACAACATGAGCTGGAGGAGTCTGAATGGAACTAAGGGGATTCCTTGGGTGTCTTCCAGCCCCATGCAGCTACATACAGTGGTCAAAGTGAATGGAAAATTATGGCAAGTCCTTCCATTTAAGGACATCAAGGATTTAGTTCTCTCAGAAATAAAGGCTTGGATCACCTCATGGGGTAAATAAACTCAAACAGAAAATATGGAATGGGATGTGAAAGGGTAGCAAATCCTATCCATGGCCTTTGAGTTTTTATGAAAATTTATTGTATCTTGTTTGTTTGTGTCAGATATACATTGATATGTTCTAAATACTTTTGATTATCTTTCTTCTCCTTTTCACAGACTATGGTATATGGGAATAGTTAAATTTGCCGTTTCATAGGTTGCAAGATACTGAAATAGGGCACAAAATAATAGAAGAAAATAAACTTGACCCAGGAAGCTTGTGCTTGTGGCTAAGTGCATTCACTAACAAGATATGGATTTTTTTTTACCCCTACAGGGAGGAGGCAGATCTGTCTCTGCTTGTATAGGGAGATGCATATATTTGAGTAGTGTAAATACTTGGGTTGGGGGGAGACAAGTTGGGCTCTTGATAGGATAAACAATATTAGTCATATCTCATGTTTTTTTCTCCTTTGCACGTACTATGGACTGAAGTTCTGTGAATGTTTGTGTCCCTGCACCAAATTCATATATTGAAATCTTAACCTCCAATGTGATGGTATAGGGAGGTGGAGACTTTGGGATGTAATTAGGTCATGAGGGTGCACCCCAGAGAGCTCTCTTGCCCTCTTTCCACTATATAAGCACTCAGCAAGAAGGCAGCCAAGCCAGGAAGACAGCCCTCACCAGAACCCAACTATGCTGGCCCCCTGATGTCAGACCTCCAGCCTCTAAATGATGAAAAACAAATTCCTGTTGTTTATAAGCCACCAAGTCTGTGGTATTTTGTTATAGAAGCTCAGAGGAAAGAAGCTTGGATCCACTACTCCTTCCTAGAAGTAGCACCTGAGATGCAAATTCTTGTGTAAGTTGTTTACTGAGGATATGTTTTCAACTTGTAAGGTCGTGAGGAAAGCAAGATAGAGAAGGGGAGAAGCAGAAAAGATGTGTTTTCCAGTGCAGTGCAGCCTCAGCCTGGTCCTGAGAGGAGCTCTAGAGTGTAAATTGCATCATAGGGTCAGTACCTTTTTGAGATAAGGGAGAAGTACCGACGGAAAAATCGACTGCATTGCATGCTGGGGGTGGGAGATGGGGAAATATCTAACTCTCAGGGACCTGTGGGTGAGGGAGTGCACATCACACAGGAGTAGTGCTCTGGAGAAGACGGTAGGTTGGAGTTCTTAACAACAGCACCTGCACAGCCAATTAAAAGAACCTCCAGGGATCTGGGAGGACACTGTTTTAATTACCTATTGCTGTGTAACAACTCACTCCAAAACTCAGACACTTAAAGTAAGAATAAACATTTATTGTGTCTTGCAGTTTTTGTGGGTCAAGAATTTAGGAGCAGCTCAGCTGGGTGATTCTGGCTGAGTCTTTCATGAGGTTGCAGTCTTGATGTTGTCTCGGGTTGCACTCTCATCTGAAAGCAGGAATGGGGCTGGAGCATCTGCTTCCAAGTTGAGTCACTCCCAGCTCACACAGCTAGCAAATTCATGCTGGCTTTTGGCAGGAGGCCTCACTTTCTCCCAGCGTGGGCCTTTCCACATGCTGCTTAAGTATCCTTATGACTTGACAGCTGCCTCTCCCACAGTAGGCAATCCAAGAGACCAAGGAAGAAGCACAATGCCTTTTATGACCCAACTCTGAAGCTATGCACTGTTTCCTCTAGCATAATCTATTGCTCATACAGACCAGCTGTGATTCAATGTATATGTGTGTATGTGTGTGTGTGTGTGTGTGTGTGTCGGGGGCGGGGGGGGTGCTACACGAGAGTGTAAACACCAGGAGGTGAAAATCATGGATCACAGGGGGAGATCAAGGGACTTGACTACCATATCCCAATTTTATTTTGAGGGATCCCATATGGTGCATTGGTGGCCAGGGAATTTTAGGTGTTTGCCTTTCACTACAGAAGTTGGGAGATACAACCAGAAAATAGTCATGTGACCTTAGTCCACCCAATCAGATGCCCTGTCCCAAGACTTTGCATTTTTAGTGAATTAGTGAATGATGCAACAGGAAGAGCAGTTCCAGGCCATTCACCACAAGCAGAGGTGTGCTGACCTGAAACTTCCCATCATGGCACTATAGCTATGGCTCTTGCTCTCCTGCCTCCTATAGCTTCCGTAATTCGTTCCCGCTTTCTAAACCCAGTTTGCAAAACCTCCTGCCAGTGCTCGGTTATCCAGGCCATGCATCAAATAAATTAAGTTTTGCTTAAGCCAGTCAGAGTTGGCTTATGTTTCTTACAGTCATGTCCCTTGACTGATATACTGCTTTTTCCATATTTTCTGGAATGAATATATGTTTCTTTTATACTTGGGTGGGGGCAGGGTGTGGAGTAAAGTCCTTTTTGAGGTACTAAAGTACTCAGGCCAAATTAAAACTCTTCCTAAGCACGTCTTTCTTTTTGCCTGAATAACATATTTCTCACCTCATTCAGACACAGACATACACAAATCCACTAAGTTAAAAAGAAGGGGGAAGGTGTAAGACCTGCGGGGTTTTGGCAGTGGGTCAAATTACCATTCAGTCTGTTGATTGTCACCTGATACTATGCTTTTCTGAACATTGGCAAAACACTGCTAATACTGATGGCTAGAGATAGAATACAAGATGCCTGAGACATGAAAACAGCCTTTCATCCCAGGGTCTTCCTTTATATTAGAACCTGTGATGCTCTTAAGACTGAGGCCAGAAAATCAATAGAATGAAGTTGTAAAGTCTGTGGCCTGCTGAGATCTGGGTGTTGCAGAATTAAATACAGGGAGGTCGTCTCATCAATAAGATTTTGTCTTTTGATTTTTCTTTTTTTTTTTTTTTTGAGACAGAGTCTTGCTCTGTCATCCAGACTGGAGTGCAGTGGTGCCATCTTGGTTCACTGCAACCTCCACCTCCTGGGTTCAAGCAGTTCTCATGCCTCAGCCTCCTGAATAGCTAGGATTATAGACACGCACCACCATGCCTGACTAATTTTTGTATTTTTAGCAGAGACAGGGTTTTGCCATGTTGGCCAGGCTGGTCTCTAACTCTTGGCCTCATGTGAGCTGCCTGCCTCAGCCTCCCCAAGTGCAAGTGCTGGGATTACAGGCATGTGCCGCCGCACCCTGCCTGATACAGTTATTATAAGAAAGTCCAACTCTCTGCTGTAGGACAAAGAGGGAGAGAGAGAGGGAGAACCAAAACATTTCACTGTGAGCACATGCCCCAAAAAGTGAGATGGGAGGGTAAATTTGGTCTTCATTCAGTCCGAGCATCCACTATATTGAGTGTCATTCTAGGGGCATATATACATGGCCCTTAAACACAGCTGACTGTTTACATACAACATGCAACATGCCCCTTCAATACAGTCAGCTACTTTTTCTGGTTCTCAAATACAGAAAGAGATCTTCAACGATGGAAACAAAACTGCATCTGGTAGACTTATAGAAGGATGAGATATTGGTCTCTAGTACAGGAATAGTCTAAGGGAGACTTGGGGATCTTTTTATTTTATGTTCAGATTGCCTTATGCTATCACTGTACATTTAGTTAACCCCCACATAAGAAGTAATCCATCTGTATGTTTTTTTTTCCTGATCTTCTCGAAACTTATAAAATAATTTTGACCAGTTTCTCAGAGACTGCATAGCAAATGAAGCCTGAATGAGTATTCGGGTTCCCCTCCCCAGTTAATTTGGAGTGCTTTTTCTCTTTTTCTTTAGCAAGTTCACAATGGCCCCAAGAGGCAGGTGATTTTGAACCTGACAAAGAAGCATTCCTGCCTGCTGGGATGACAGGCTGCAAAAGTTAAGTAAAGATTGAAGTAAAAATAGACAATAAATTTCGAGAGAGAGAGAGAGAGGAATACAAAAATATCCCAGGGCAACTGAAAACTGTCATCCAAACGTATGAAAATGTTCCAGATAGTTTAATGATAAGCAGGAAATTGCTGAAAAAAAACAACAGTCATAGAAGGAGAAAATTGCAGTTAGGAGGGAGGACTAAACTGAGCTAAGTGTCTGTGTCATAGAGTTTATTATTTTATTAGTTTTAATAGTTGGACAGATAAGCTAATAGCAATAGGATTTACTTTAAAGATCAACACCACAGACTCTGCTGTTTATTATTCGATAGTACTGTGTCTCCAGTGAGGGGAATATTAAATCTCATAAAAAGCCATTCCTGCAGTTGATCCAGGCCCTTTCCAAGTTGCACGCACATGGATTTTCCCCTATTAGTTCCCATCTCTGGCAGGAGTTTTGTTTGTATAATACTTACAGGGACATCTGCTCCTTGGGAATCTGTGAGAGCCATTTCAGCTCCTAGTTTGGGTTCTACGACCAGAGGATGGAACTGGAGATCACCTTTCTCATTCTTTTAGCAAGAGCTGATTAACTCATTTGGATCCTGAATATACTTGGAGTTTTTAAGTTTCTATCAGTATCCATTTATTGGATTCTAGTGTAATTTTGTTACATGGCTATATTGTGTAGTAGTGAAGTCAGAGCTTCCAGGGTATTCATCACCCAAATAACGTATATTATACTCATTAAGTAATTTCTCATCATCCACAACCCTCCTGCTCCCCCAGCCTTCCAAGCCTCCATTGTCTATCATTCCATATCCTGAATCTGTTTCTATGACATAGATGGGAAACTCAGTGTGAGAGATGGGACACCCATATCTCTGAAAATTACCGTGAGAGTTAAAAGCAATAACACTTTTAACTCAACTAGCATAGTGCCTGGTAAATCCAGAACACACACCCACTATATAGGGAAATGGTAAGTGTAGCAGATGTTTGTGGATTCTGTAGTCAGAATGTCTGGGTTAAAAGTCCTAGTTCTGATGTTCACATAGTTTCAAATATCTCCCCACAAGATACTCATTAATTACACAGGGAAAAATAGTCACTTTACAGTGGAGGAAACTGCAGAAACTACCTTAACCAAATGATCAAAGCTAAACCTCACCAATAACAGGGCACAGTGCCAGCACATACCTTCTAATACGACACACTGTGGAGAACATAACATTACTTCTGTGCTGTTCCTGTCAAAATCACCCACCATAAATCTAATGTGACAAATCCAAATTGATGAACTTTCTGCAAAATAACTGTCCTGTACTCTTTAAAACTGTCAATACATCCAGCACAGTAAAAGACTGAGAAACTCTTCCAGATTAATAGAAACTACAAGACATGACAATTGAATGCATTGTATGATTTAGAATTTTTTTCTTTTCACTTCTTTCTTTTTCTTTTTTTTTCTTTTCTCTTTTCATTTCTCTTTTTTCTTTTTCTTTTCCTTTTTCTTTTTTTACTTTGAGACAGGGTCTAGCTCTGTTACCCAGGCTGGAAGTACAGTGGCGACATCACACCTCACTACAGTCTTGACCTCCTGGGCTCTGAAGATCCTCCCACCTCAGCCTCCCAAGCATACCTGGAACCACAGGTATGCACTAGCACCCCCAGCTAATTTTATTTTATTTTTTGTAGTGACAAGGACTTGCTGTGTTATCCAGGCTGGTTTCGAGCTCCTGGGCCCAAGTGATCTGACCCACCCGCCTTGACCTCCCAAAGTGTTGGGATTACAGGCATGAGCCAGCATGTCTGGGCCTTCTTTTACATTTTTTCTTTCATCTCTTTTTTATCTTGTTTTTTTTTTCTTTCTTTTTATTGTTTTAGCAATAAGTACACCATAGGGACTATTTGTCAATTGGTGAAGTATGAACAAACTCTGTAGATTAAATCATAATAGTGTGTCTGTATCCATATCATTCCTCTTATTTTAATAGCTGTTCTGCAGTAATGTAAGAGACCATCCTTGTTTTTGGGAAATAAACACTGATGTATTTAGGAGTAAGGTGACATTAAACCTTCAACTGATTCTCAAATGGCTTAGAAAAAAATAAAAGCAGGAGGATAAAACCAATGGGGTAAAGTGTTAACATTTGGGGAAACTGGGTAAGGAGTATACAGAAATTTTTTTGCAACTTGTGTACAGGCCTGAAATTATGCTAAAAAATATTAAATGGAAAAAAAAAGCAATCTCAGCTTTGCCACTTTGGAACTTATCATGACTTGACTTCTCTTATCCTCAGTTTCCTCATCCCAAAATAAGGATTTTCAGACCAGCATATAGGACATTTTCTTTCAATTGACATGGCCAAGACACTAAAACATCAGGTAGTCAAACTTTTCCTTGAGTGAGGAGATGGGTTGCAGAGTCAGGAATAAGATAAAAAACCAGGACATCTACTACACATGTTTCCAAGTAATAAAAACTGTGATTTTGGGCTATGGCTGTTCCCTCAATGAACTGTGTCAAATTGGACATAGCAGGGAATCCTCCTTGAAATAACGTTTCCATTTCAAGGTTGCTGTGGAAATCAAATGAGATTATCTGGGAAAAGAACTTGGTGCAGTGCCCGGCACATAGGAGGGCTTAAGTCATGGCGGTGCACCTTACTGGTTTAATGATTCCTGGAGGGTAAGAAACCTCCACTGTGCCTCATCACCATGTGTTTTGCTCTTGCCTACTGGTCAAGTGGAAGTTCTTTCTAGAAAGTCAGTTTGTCTCAATAAATGACACTCTTACCAGGGTGCCAGCCAGACGATCTCACCCACCAGCCTCACTGAAGTTTCAGGCTGGGTGGCTGCTGACTGATGCCAGGACTGCAGCTCAAAGCAGTTTTCTTAAACACGCACACACCTGGTTGAAGATTCACGATGAGCAAATCCAAGCCAAAGTGACTGGGGAAGGCAAATTAGCATAAAATTGAAAAGGTTATGATCTATCTCTTCAGAAACAGAGCTCTGCAATGTTCTGCCTTTTATAAAAATTCCCTGTGGATTTCTTCCTGCTCCTTCCTCACCAGCTCTCTCCACCTCCAACCACAACACACACGCAAACACCCTAGCTTTCTATACTCTGAAAAGCACTCGCTTGCTCAAGTAATCCAAACTCTAATTTATTTAGTCCTTATGTTTCCAAAAATCCTCTAAGAAAAGTTTCTCCCCACCATTCTGCAGACAGTAGTCATTCCTGGGCCACCCACCGAGAGCAGTTCTGAGCTCTTAATGAATTGGTCTTAGGCCATAGGAAGTTCACATCCAAGGGGCAAGGCAAAGGCTGCTCTGGAAGGCCAGCTCTTACTGAGAATTGAGATGTCTGCAAGAGCTACGAACTTGATATCACTTACAAGGCACCAAAGGAAAAGCAGCAACCATTTATTCAAATCAGCTCTCTATCCGGAATTCCTTTAATGGAAGTCCATTAAAGCCCACCACAATCCTGCACAGTTGCAATTCCCTCTGACTACGATGTAGATTGTCACCTTCTTCCCCTGGGGAACCACCCTCTTCCTTCAGGCCCTGCTCCTGCAGGGAGACCTTTTTCCCATAAAGCCCTAGACTTGATTCCCTTCCCACTGCTTGATACCTACATAGCCTGCACTTCATTAATGTGATGGTTAATATTGAGTGTCAACTTGATTGGACTGAAGGATGCAAAGAATTGTTCCTGGGTGTGTCTGTGAAGGTGTTGCAAAGGAGATTAACATTTGAGTCAGTAGACTGGGAGGGGCAGACCCACACTCCGAGTAGGCATCATCTAATCAGCTGCCAACACAGCTAGGATAAAAGCAGGCAGAAGAACATGGAAAGACTAGACTAGATGAGTCTTCCGGCCTCCATCGTTCTTGCATGCTGGATGCTTCCCGCCCTTGAATATCAGACCCCAAGTTCCTCAGCTTTGGGACTTTTGGACTTACATCAGTGGTTTGCCAGGGCCTCTCAGGCCTTTGGTCATAGACTGAAGGCTCCACTGTCGGCTTCCCTACTTTTGAGGTTTTGGGACTCACACTGGCTTCCTGGCTCCTCAGCTTGCAGACAGCCTATTGTGGGACTTCATCTTGTGATTATGTGAGTCAATTCTCTTAATAAACTCCCCTTTATCTACATATTTATCCTATTAGTTATGTCCCTCTAGAGAACCCTGACTAATACAACTACACACACACCCATTACACTTAATTGTAATTGCTTAGGTAATTGATTGGCTCCAGGGCTACAAAAGCCACAGCTAACATTTACTGAGTGTGTATTATGTGCCACACTCAATGTTCACTGCACGTATTAACTCTTTTATTAATCTCTCAATGACCCTCTGAAGTCAGTGCCATTATTACTAGCCCACTTTACAGATGAGGAAACTGAGGACCAACGAGGTGAAGTGACTTGCCCAAAGGCACACAGTCAGGGGGGGTTAATGCCCAGGGTCACACCCAGGCTGTCCGGTTGCAGTTTTACATGGACAGCTGGCTGTACTCTAGGTTAACACATCCCTAAGGAAGGTGCCTACCTTCAGAATCTAGTAGAAAACAATGATGGAGGACCAGAGCAAATATACACAATGTGTGGTGGGTGCTTGTGCTCATTATCAAATATCCCCAGTTCTCCCCTCCCAGTCACATGAGAGGCTCTTATTCCTGGGTGCTTGTGCCTGGGCAGGGCCATATGACTAGTTCTAATCAATAGGCTGTGAGCAGAAGCTCCCTGTGTATTACTCAGGCCACACTATTTAACAGGTATGTGAAAACTATCAAAATTACCTTATCTTCTCGATGGGAACCAACAATGTTTGAGATGGTGGTCCCTGCATCAGCGGGCATCCCTAAGTGATTCCAGTAAGTGGAAATCCCCTGAGACCCATGATGGACAAGCAGTGTGAATGTAAAATAAAACTGTTATTTGAAGCTATGGGGACTTTTTTAGGTCAGCATAATCTGGCATGTATCCTGCCTGATATATAATGAAGGGAAAACAAAGCAATTAAATGAGAGCTAGATGCTTTTAATTATATTGAAGTTAATATACCTATATTGATGTTACTATCAAGTCTCTGAGTCCAAGGTCTGCTCTCTCTATGTCAAAAGGGATATAGCCACCATGGAATACTATGCAGCTTTAAAAAAGAGTGAGATCATGTCCTTTGCAGGAACACGGATGGGGCCTTTACTCTTAGCAAACTAAAGCAGAAACAGAAAACCAAATACCACATGTTCTCACTTATAAGTGGGAGCTAAATGATGAAAACACATGGACACACAGAGGGGAACAGCACACACTGAGGTCTATCAGAGGGTGGAGGCTGGAAGGAGGGAAAAGATCAGGAAAAATAACTAATAGGTACTAGGCTTAATACCGCGGAAATTAAATAATCTGTATAAAAAACCCCCATGACACGAGTTTACCTATGTAACAAACCTGCACATGTACCCCTGAACTTAAAAGTTTTTTTAAAAAGGAAATATAGGCTGGGTGCGGTGGCTCACCCAGCACTTTGGGAGGCCGAGGCAGGCAGATCACAAGGTCAAGAGATCGAGACCATCCTGGCTAACACGGTGAAACCCCGTCTCTACTAAAAATACAAAAAATTCGCCGGGTGTGGTGGCGGATGCCTGTAGTCCCAGCTACTCAAGAGTCTGAGGCAGGAGAATGGCATGAGCCCAGGAGGCGGAGCTTGCAGTGAGCCGAGATGGAGCCACTGCACTCCAGCCTGGGCAACAGAGTGAGATTCCACCTCAAAAAAAAAAAAAAAAAAATTAGCTGGGCATGGTAGTGGGCACCTGTAGTCCAAGCTACTCAGGAGGCTGAGGCAGGAGAACAGCGTGAACCCGGAAGGCAGAGCTTGCAGTGAGCCGAGATCATGCCACTGCACTCCAGCCTGGGTGACAGAGCAAGACTCTGTCTCAAAAATAAATAAATAAATAAATAGGAGATACAGCAAGTTACAGAGAGGAGTTAAATGCTAGCATGAAACTCCCTTGAGTTATTAGAATGATTAAATTCTGAGTGGCAATTATTTTCCCACTTGTGAGTCAACTTTATTTAAGTACAACCTCAATCATACAGTGGCCAAAATTCCACAAATAGGGTTACATTAATTAATTAGAACCAGGGCAACTTCTCCCCCATATCTGTGGCCCATGGACTGAGGATAAATTGAGATGTTGGTCAAAGTGGACAAATAGCCTTCCTTTTATCTTCTTCCCAAATGCTTCCTTACTCTTTTCTAAAGGTGCCTTATAGGCACTCCAGAAAACCATGATTGGAAATGCAGATGCTAATTTTAAGAATTCAAAGGTAGGTACAAAAAAGAAATTTCTATTGTGCCGTAACAGATTAAAATTCTACCTTTCATGAACCTACGAATTTCTTTGATGGCCGATGGCCACTTCTTAAATATATGTGAGTTGGAGCCATCCAGGTGTCATAGCCTAGAGGAGGGCTCCTTAAATTATGACACTTGACCACCCAAATAAAAATCACTTGGGGAAATGTAAAAATATTCAGATTCTCAGATCTCTGAGGATAGGGGCCTGGGAATGTTCATTTTTATGAACATTCTTGGGCTATCTGGTGTCACTAAAGATTGGGAAGCTCTGCCCTTAGACTAGGTTCACCAGGAAAACAGAGAGTTGGGCTTCTAGATATTTGAGGAAAAGCCCAGGGGCAGCTCACCACAAGAACATTCTGAAGAGCCACAAGTTGGCTCACTGGCCTCCTCAAGGAGCCAAGGTATCCAGGTGAACAGGAAGGTGAGCACACACAAAACTATGCCTTCCCCTACAGAATCCCATCTCAGTTGTGGGATTAACTGAAACGCTCAACTGATCTGCAAACAGCTATCCCTTGACTACTGATAATTGACCCAGAAGTGGACACATGGGCTCAACTAGATTAAAAAAAGAAGGATCTATATAGCCCATGCCTGCACGGAGGTTTCGAAAAGAGAGATTTTCATTCTCAATCTCTAGGAGAATCAGTGAAATACATAGACCTTGCTGTTGTCAACCTTGTTCTTACAAAAAGGAGGAAAAGTGAGAGATAGAAAAGGAGGAAGGGAGGGAGGGCAAGAAAAGGAAAGGGAAGAGAAAGAAAGGGTAAGAGAGGAGAGGACATGAGTGGGGAGAGAAGGGAAGGGAGAAAAAGGGGGATAGGGAGGAGGGAAGAGGGAAAGGGAAAAGAAAGAAAAGAGAAGAGAAGGAAGGAAGAAAGAGGAGAGGAAAGGAAGGAGGGAGGAAGGAAAAGGAAAGAAAGGAAAGTGAAAGGGAAGAGAAGGAAAGAGAAGGAAGGGAGGAAGAGAAGGGAGGAACAGAGGGAAAGAGGGATAGGGAAAGAAAGAGAAGGGAGGAAGAAAGAAAAAGAGGGAGAGGGAGGAAAGGAGGGAAAAAGGGAGTAAAGAAGAAATAAAAGAAGGAAAGGAGGAAGGAAGGAAGGAATGGAGGGAGTAAAGAAAGAAGGAAGGGAGAGAGAGAGGGAGAAAGGGAGGAAGGGAAAGGGGTGGGGAAGAGGGGATAAAGAAGAGAGAAAAGAAGAAAGGAAGAAAGAGAGAAAAGGAGGAAGAGAGGAAGGTAGGAGGGGGAAGGAGGGGGTAAGAAAGAAAGAAAAAAGGAAGGAAGAGAGGGAGGTAGAGAGGAAGTGGGAGGGAGAAAGAGAGGAAGGAGGCAGGGAAGATGGGAAGAAGGGAGGAGTGAGGGAGAAAGGGAAGGAGGAGGAGTTTAAGTCCATGTGAATCAAGGTTTTCTGTTACTTGCTGCCCAAAACATTCTACCTGATATTTATCAGCATCATTGCTGACATCACCATCAAGGACTAGGGCAGGATTCACTGTTCTCCATGGAGAACAAGAGACTTCACTTGTCCTTACTCAGAATACACTTCCTGTCCAATCTGAAACACACTGTTCTAGAATCTATATTGGGAAGAAAAGAAGGGCAGAACTCAGAACTGGTTCTGGTCCCAGCTCTGCCATCGACCATGTGACTTAAGATGAAAGCTGAGGTCTATTTTTTATACCTACAGAATAAAGAGGTAAAATCAGATGTCATCTGTGTACTCCAAGGATTTTAAATGTGGGACCACACAGATAGTTAACGGCCATATTTAGTGGCTGTATTAGGGAGAGGGAGGAGACAGCTCACAGGTTGCTTTTAAAACTTTGCAGTTTTAAAATAGTTGGGAATATTTTAAAACGCAGATCAATTTCTCATGAAACTCAAAGTTTTTGATTTCTTTCAAAACATTAGTCAACACTGGACCTACATTTACACATGGCAACAATTGGCTCAGGGCCAGCAGCTGCTGTCTTTAATCGAGGCAAATTTGCTTGAGTTAACTGCACTCCCCACTACTCCCCATTGCCTCCCAACACTGAGACTAAGTGGCAGCCGTCTTTTATCATCTTACACCCAACTCACTTACTAACTTTCATTTCCTGCCCAGTCTGGGTAGACATTGGCTTTGCAACCCCAAATCTAAGCCAATAGTCTAAGGCTTCTGGGATCCAAATTCTTTGGGGCCTTTTAAAGTAGATTGTTCTTATCTTCATATCGCATCCTCATCCAGAACCCAGGAGCCCAAAGGCCTCGAGGAACCACCTGAGAATACTGCCCCTGCCTCTGCTTGCATATGGTCATTCTCAAGGACCAGCTTGTTTCTGCGTTATGTTTTCCATTTCCTCTTTGGACACTTCTGTTCCTTTCCTGCTTTGAGGTCTATGTTCCAGCTCATGGGTGGTCAGTTCCTTGGGCTAGATGAAAAAGGATTTTTCCATAATCACCACCTCCTCTGAGCCAGTTTAGAGTCTGAGATTTACATTTGCATTATTAAGTTATTCACTGCTGGGGAGTTGGCACTTTGCAAACTTTTAGAATAAACAAACACATCCGCCTCTCAAGCACAGATTGCAACAAATGTTCTGCCTCCAAATATTGGCCACATATATTTTTGCCTAACAACAACAGTCTTAAATAATTAATGTGTTCTCTTCAGTTATCTGAAGCTGTAATTCACCAGCAACTTAACTGTAATCTCCTGCTCCAGAGTTTGGGTGACTTTGGTTGAAAGTATCTGACGGCCTTCTTGGAGACTCATAGCATGTATTACAAACAGCTTGATTACTGAGCTGAACACTATGACTGTACATTTCTTTTTTTCTTTTTCCTTTTTTCTTTTTTTGAGACAGAGTTTCGCCTTTGTCGCCCAGGCTGGAGGGCAATGGCATGATCTCGGCTCACTGCAACCTCCGTCTCCCTGGTTCAAGCAATTCTCCTACCTCAGCTTCCCAAGTAGCTGAGATAACAGGCGTGCACCATCATGCCCAGCTAATTTTGTATTTTTAGTAGAGATGGGGTTTCACCATGTTGGTCAGGCTGGTCTCAAACTCCTGACCTCAGATGATCTGCCTGCCTCAGCCTCCCAAAGTGCTGGGATTACAGGCGTGAGTGAGCCACTGCACTCAGGTGGGATGGTACATTTCTGATTTAGACTTGGATGAATCCCTTTCTGCACTGGCCTCAGTTTTCCCCACTGTAAAGAAGGGGGTGAATTAAGTTGATAGTTTTCAAAGTGTATGTCATAGAACTTTGAACTTACTAGAAGGACCCTCCTAGAGATGACAGGGAAAGCTAGTAGGGAAAATGTGGTACTGTCCTTTTCAACCATTGACACTTCACTGTGTTCTGTTTTATATGTCCTAACAGTTAATGGGGTGGAGGGGTGTTGTTCTGTGAAACAAGAAAAGAAAAATGGCAGGTAGGAAAGAAAGAAGAAAGGAAGAAGGGAGGAAAGAAGGAGTAAAGGAAGAGAGAAAGGGAGGGAGGAAGGAAGACCATCAGATTAGTTGAAATGACTCTTCTAAGAGCTGAAAATCTAAAGATGATTTTTTTTTTTACTGAAAATCAAATATGAAAGGGTCTAATTTAATCTGTCTTTAAACTGAGGTATCTTTGATCTATCCCAAAGCGAAGAGTCAGTATGGCGATTAAGAGCATGGATCCTGAAACCAAGCTTTCTGGGTCCAAAGCCCAGGCTGTTTCACCTGATATCTGGATGTCTTTGGTCAATCTAAGTATAGCATCTCTGTATTCAAGTTGCCTTCCCTGAAAAACATGGTAATATTAAATAGTACTCACTAATGATTTAATAAATAAGTTAGCCCATGTAAGAAACTTAGAGCACCTGGCATGTAGGGTGCCATCTCAGGCCCCTTTACAAGCAGCTCTGTCTTCATCAGCAGCAGATTTACATTCATTTATTAATTTGAGCAAACATTATTGAGAACCTAGTCTGTTCCAGGTGCTATGCAACCTATTCAGAATGTTAAAATGGATGTAAGCATGGTCCCTGTTCCTAAGACCTTACAGTCTGGGAGGAGAAGGCGTGTAACAAGCTAAGTGCAAAAAACGTTCCAGTAGCTGCAACTGCCTGGATGGAGCACAGCAGAATCAGCATGGAAAGGAAGGAGCCAAGGTTTTGATACCAGCTGCAGAGGTAGCAACAACAGCAGTACAAACTCTGTAATATGCATTCTATATGCATCCTCACAACAGTCATGTGAAGCTAGAGTTATTATTTATCCCTAGTTTACAACTGACAAAGCAGAGGGTATAAAGTTAGTCTGAATTCATTCCATCGGCAAACAAGAGAGCTGGGAATCAAATCCAGGTCTTGCTGAGACCTGAACCTATGTTGCTTAACCTTGCCAAAAGGAAACTGAGCATAAATACTTGATTGCTGCAATACCTGTTCTCCCATTGCTTCCACAAACCCCTGACTCTTAGCTAAGTACATGAGCATTGAGAATAAATACTACATTACCCAGCCTTCTTTGCAGCCACGTGGTCATGTGACTCCAATCTGACCAATAGTTATACCCTTAAAAGGAAGGATCATGCCTCTCTCTTCTTGCCCTCTTTTCTCCAGCTGGAATGAAGGTGGTTATGTGCAATCTTAGACTATGTCATTAAGAGCAACATTCTAGAATTGGCAGAGCAACAAGGCTGAAGGAGCCTGTGTCTCTGCACGGCCTTATGGGATGGAAACTGCCTTGTATGATATATGTGACAAAAATAAATGTCTATCTTGTTTAAGCCTGACAAAAGAAGACAATTTTGTGTCCTAATAATACAGATTTATGTATGCATTATATTTCTACACTTCTTTTTAAACTTTTCTTTTTTTTTGAGACAGAATCTTGCCCAGGCTGGAGGGCAGTGGCACTATCTCAGCTCACTGCAACCTCCACCTCCCAGCCTCAGATGATCCTCCTGTCTCAGCCTCCTGAGTAGCTGGGATTACAGGCATGCACTACCACACCTGGCTAATTTTTGTGTCTTTAACAGAGATGGAGTTTCAACATGTTGGCTAGGGTGGTCTTGAATTCCTGACCTCAAGTGATCCACCTGCCTCAGTCTCCCAAGGTGCTGAGATTACAGGTGTGAGCTACCATGCCTAGCTGTATGCATTATATTTCTTTAGCTAAGCTGTAGCTCCAAGAAACTAGGGCTTCATGTAGTGTATCTTGAGCTTACCCAAGAGAAAAGCTTTAGCCTCTAGTACAGTTGACATTTGGTCTGGCTAGTGTCTACAAAATTCAAATAATCCATGAATGTGAGGGAGGTCACCATGAAAACAATGTCTTTCAAGCTATAGAACCATTTTGCCAACTCGGTAAAGCTTTGGGAGTCTTTTGTAGCTGCACCACAGTGAACCCAGGCCATATAAAACAGATGGTGAGAGATCCCCTGCTCATCAAACTACACATACCATGCCCAATATCAGTCCCACTCCACATGCCACCCAGTCAATCCTTCTTCATTAAAATTATTAATATAGTCATTATTATTAATATGACAGCTGTCACTTAATAACAGCCCACCTTGCATAGTCTCTGCCATATTAAAAATTTAATATAAGTAGAGGTTTTAATCCCTATTTTACAGTGGGTACAACTGGGGCTTTCCCAAGTTCACAGAGTTAAGAGCAAAGGTAGGAATTCAGCATTTTCCGATGCCAGAGACCTGCCCCTCTTATATAGGAATGTAATCCAGAAAGAGCTGGGTAGACCAATTCCATTGCCTCTGACCCACTTTCAGGAAAGATGTGACCAGTCCAGACTGGTTGTAATTGGGTCTCGCCTAAAAGCAGCCCTTTATCCCCAGCTCTCTGCCTCCGGGACTTCTTTCAGAAACATAATATATTCTCACTTTTGTAATCACTGGCTACGTTGACAATAACCCATGCTCTCTCTCATATCTTAAAGCCAGGCAAGTCAAATCCAAATTCTTTATCCTCCTGGTCTCCAGACATTAGTGGACTAAACCAAGCTTGCTGGGCTTGGTCCCTAGTTCTGTTCCCTTCGTTCTCAAACTTGCCCCTTTCCCGTGAAGCTGAAGCCTGGAATGCCTTTTTGGAGATGAGCTTTGCACAGAGTCCAACTCTACACTCTACTTGTACCCTAACCCTTTGACCTATGATAGATCCCGCCTTAGCTTTCTCCAAGAAGCCTAAGCTTCCAAACAATGACATGGCAACCACCGCCCCCACTCTCTGCTGCTCATCTTGCATCTTGGCCAGCTCTCAGCCTATAATTCTTTCCAAACTTGCCTGTATAAAATAATCATGTACATGAAGTAAAACAGGAGCCTCATATACACACTTAATAACTCTTGTGTACTGTACAAGAGGGAATTCAACTTTATAACCCCCCAGAGCTTTTGAATGGTTCTCATTTAGTTTTGCATTCCTGGTGTGAGATCTGAAACTTCTCTCTTTCTGCCCCAGAATGTTGCTGCCTTTTGAAACTGTTGTGTCTCCAGATTCCTTGGGACCATTTCATCTCCATCTCTGCTTCTAATTGGGGGATTTGTGTATTGCTATTTAGCCCTAGAGCTAAACGTCAGGGTTTCACTTAAAATCCCATATTTTGGGAACTGAGTACATTGTACTGGGGAATCTTCAAGTACGAGCATGTCAAAGTAGATGGAATTAAATGGATCAGGTAATCTTCCCATCCAAGAGCTCAATTGCAGGGTAAGAAGATGGGCTCCTACCCTTGGTATTCATCAAATCCCCTGTGTGATGTTGGCCAAGTCATTGGTCCTCCATGGGCTATTTTCCCCAAAGATAATTTTTCTGTAGTAGGCGGCAATTTCCCTGTGTCTCCAGTCAGTTAATTGGGCAATATCTATCCTCTAAGTAAGTCTTAGATTTGGGGGGTGGGGGGCAGTCAATATCAAATCCTTTCTTGTACTGACTCCATAGGCATGGTCATACTTATTAAAATAGCTACAACAATATACAGCTGTGTTTTTAAAATTAGCTTTATTTTGTAAAATATGCACAGACAGTGGCACCAAAGGTTATGGAGAACAGGAATTGAGAGATGCAATTAATTAATTTCATTAGTTTGGACCTTGAGCATATATCCATGGTGCCTGGTCTTTGCCAGACACAGTGGTTGACACTGAGAAGACAGATGAGCTGAATGTAACCCTCGGCTTACATCTTCAATCACATTTCAATCCCTACCTTACTATACGCTCTGGCCACACTGGCTTGCTTCATGTTCTTCAAGCATACAAATTTCACTCCTGCCTCAATGTCTTTGCATATGCCATCCCTTGCAGGCAGGATTTCCTCCCTGCTAGTCTTCAGATGCCTTCTGGGTCTCAATACAAATGGCTTCTTCCATGAGAGGACTTCTTTTCCATCACCACCTCGTTCTCCAGCACTCTCAACTTCATCTCCATTATATCATCTTCATGGTGTGTGTCTCATTTGAAATCATGCTGGCTATGTGATTGTTTACTGGTTTATTAAGAGTACCCTTTTCTCCCACTGGACCATAAGTTCCTTGAGGTCAAGAGGCCTTGTCTTTCATATTTGTCTGTATCTTCAAGGTCTAGAGCAGTGTTTGACATGTAGAAACATTCCATAATTAGGGAAGAATGAATGACTAGGGCCACAATCAAATGAGCTTTGGAGTTATAGTTTTTAAAATGCACCTAGCTAGCTGGGCACAGAAGCTCACGACTGTAATCCCAACACTTTGGGAGGCTGAGGTGGGCAGATCACGTGAGGTCAGGAGTTCAAGACCAGCCTGGCCAACATGGCAGAAACCTGTCTCTACTAAAAAATACAAAATTAGCCAGGCATGGTGGTGCACACCTGTAGTCCCAGCTACTCTGGAGGCCGAGGCACGAGAATCACTTGAACCTGGGTGGTGGAGGTTGTAGTGAGCCAAGATCGTGCCCCTGCACTCTAGCCTGGGCAACAGAGTGAGACTCTTGTCTCCAAAAAAAAAAAAAAAAAGAAAAGAAAAGAAAGAAAGAAAAGAATAGAAGAAGTAAAATACACATAGCTAAATCTGTCAGGCCCAACCTTGATTGTTCCCTTCAACTATTCAACACCTACATTCTATGATACAATTTCTTCTAGAACAGTGTATTTGTTTGTCTGTTAATTTTTTAAATTTTTTAATTGTACATATTTATGAGATACATACGTATAGTAATCAGATCAAGGTAATTAACATATTTATTACCTCCAACATTTATCATTCTTGTGTTGGGAGCATTCAATATCCTCCTTTTAGCTATTTGATACTATATAATGTGTTATTGTTAACTAGAGTCATCCTACAATGCTGTAGGACACTAGAACTTATTCCTCCTATTTAGCTGTAATTTTGTCACATTTAATTTGTCCTTAAGCCCTCTTCCCTTACCCTTCCCAGTCTCTAATATCCTTTTTCCACTTTTTATTTCTGTGAGATCAGCTTTTTTTTTTTTTTTTTTAGCTTCCACATATGAGTGAGAACATGAAAGGTTTCAACTTTCTGTGCCTGGCTTATTTTACTTAACATAATGTCCTCCAGTTCTGTCAATGTTGCTATGAAAGAGAGGATTTCATTCTTTTTTATGGCTGAATAGTGTTCCATGCTATTCATCCACATTCTTTATTCATTCATCTATCTTTAGACACCTAGGTTGACTTTATATCTTGGCTGTAATAAACACGGGGGTGCAGATGTCTCTGATGTACCGATTTCCCTTCCTTTGGATAAATGCCCACTAGTGGGATGCTGGATCATATGGTAGTTCCATTTGTAGTTTTCTAAGTGATGAGGTTTGGCTGTGTCCCCATACAAATCTCATCTTGAATTGTAGCTTCCATAATTCCCACGTGTTGTGGGAGGGACTGGGTGGGAGATCATTGAATCATGGGGTGGTTTCCCCCATACTGTTCTCATGATAGTGAATAAGTCTCATGAGATCTGATGGTTTTATAAGGGGAAACCCCTTTCACTTGACTCTCATTCTCTCTTGTCTGCAGCCATGTAAGACGTGCCTTCTGCCTTCTACCATGATTGTGAAGCCTCCCCAGCCATGTGGAACTGTGAGTCCATTAAACTTCTATTTGTTTATAAATTACCTATCTCAGGTACCTCTTTATCAGCAATGTGAAAATGGACTAATACACTGAGGAACCTCCATACTCTTCTCCACAGTGGTGTGTTACAAACACTTAACCCTTAATTCAAAAGAAAGCCAAATCTATAGAGCAGTCACCGTTAAGGTGTGGAGGATGTGGTTAAGGCAAGGGTGTGGTCTGGAGCCCCACCCATTTTGCCCCATCCCACCTTCTTTCTGCTGTCCTTAAGGCACCTCTGTAGCCTCTCAGGATAAATTTCCATGTTTTATAAATCATTCTGCCAAAAAGGCACATGCACTCATATGGTCATTGCAGCACTATTCAGAGTAGCAAAGACATGGAATCAACCTAAGTGCCCATCAATGGCGGATTGGGTAAAAAATTTAAAAATGTGGTATATATACACCAAGAAATACTACACAGCCATAAAGAAGAATGAAATCATGTTCTTTGCAGCAACATGGATGCAGCTGGAGGCCATTAGCCTAAGTGAACTGATGCAGGAACAGAACATCGAACACTGCATGTTCTCACTTATAAGTGGGAGCTAAACATTGGGTACATATGGAAGCAATAGACACTGGGGACTGCTAGAAGGGGGAGAGAGGGAGGGGAGCAAGGGTTTAAAACTACCCACTGGGTATCATGCTGACTACCTGGGTGATGGGATCATTTACACTTCAAACCTCAGTGTCATGTATCATACCATGTAACAAACCTGCACATGTACCCCCTGAATCTAAGATAAAAGTTGAAATTACTTTTACAAGTCCTTTTAAGAAGTACATGATTATTTCAAGAAATACATACTAAGTGTGTACGACATCCCAGAAATTGTGCCAGTTGCTGGGATACAGTGAAGAACAAGACAAGCACAGTTCCTGTCCTAGAGGACATTATAATCAAGGGATTAAAGGAAATTCTACTAGGGTAAAGAACATAAATGGGATTCTGCACTCAGGGACTGTGCTGTGCATGAGCTAACGTATTCTGGAAATATGTGGGTACATGTTTTACCTAAAGTTAGTGAGAATGCCACAGGTCTAGTGTTCCACAAAGCAGGCTTTGGGAAATGCTTGTCAAGGCCAATTGCTGTTAGCATCAACAGGGAGTGAACTCTATACTATTACCAATTTTCAAAGCATTGCAACATAAAAAATGTAAATAATCCTGGATGACTCAATCTGTTTGATCTCTGATGATTCATAAGGCATTTTGAGATTCCCATGTCTTGGATCATCCTTTAAACATGGATTATCTTTGTAGTTGGAGCATGTGGATGTATCCATTAAAAGAACTCAATATCTAGCTGGTCAGCTTCAAGAATGGTCCTGTTTTGTGTTTATATCACTTTGTGGCCATGTTTCTTGTACTCACTTTTCTAGTCATTCATAAGAGAATATAATTCTTAGAGCAGAAATGCCTGTAGAGAGATTTTCACCTTGAAAAATATGCCTCCTCCCCAAAATCAGGCAGAAAAATCCAACCAAAGGTCCTATCCCTGGGATGGAATTCCTTCTTGCTATGTGTTTCCAGAATGCTGTACACACAATTATAGATAGCATTTATCACAGTGATTATTACTCATGACAACCAGTCAGTGCTCAGTATTTTGTGCCAGGTGCTTTGCAAAGTATTTTCCATATATTGTTGCTTCTACTTCCAACATTCATAGGCACTAGGTCCTAGCACTATTCCTGTTTTAAGGGTGAGAAGACTGAAGCTCAGAAAAGCTAAATAATTGCCCAAGACAACATGATGAATAAGTTGAATTCCATGATGAGTAAGTGGGATTCCAGAATTTAAACCTAAGCCCATATAATTCCCACGTCTACACTCTCTCTTCCATATTTCCCAGTTAATGACTTAAGAATCCATCACCACCAGCTTGGATCTTTCAACTTCTTGAGTGACATATGTGAGTTTCATTCAGCCTAATGCAGTTCATGGTGTCCAACGAGTGCTCAGGAAAGCTAGTTGAATGAACCGTGAGAGGCAATATGATACAAAGAAGAGAGCTTTGGGTTAAATAGCAAGAAAACTGTATCTTTCTTCAGAACATGTAAGTAATCTACCATGTGACCCTGAGCAAGCCCCTTCTTCCTCTCTGAACCTTGGTCTTCCCATCTGTAAAGTGGGAGGATTGGGAAAGATGATTGCTAATACAATCTTTCCCTCTGAGTCCAAATGACCTATAGTGGGAACTGGTGCCACGTAATTCAAAAAATATCAGGATCCCTAAGAAGATAGACATAGTGTTGTTTGTTTCTGACATCTTCAATGCTTAGCAGAGTGCCAGGCATACAGTCATGTTCAATTAGTACTCACTGAATAAATGAGTGGATACTGAGACTCATCCAAAGCTCTGCTGAGCGTAAACACATCCCAGACCCCACATCCCAGAAAGAAGCAAAAAGCCACTTCCTTGTAAGGAAAGATGGATCCACCAGTGAACCACAGGACTGGCTCAGCCCTTCAAAAATAAAGTGGTTGGAGTCCAGCCACAGGGACAGACAGAAGCTGGGGATGGAAGGCCCCCCAGCATCCCCTCACCGCCCCACCCCACTCATGAACTTAAATTCCTGGGTCAGATCTTTCATCACTAGTATGTAGCCTCTGGAAAACATAAAGGAGAATGGTCCAAATCTTGTTTTGTAAGCTTTGCCTTACGTATCACCCTCCCTAAAACAGAGGAGGAAGAGACTCAGGAAGCCAAGAGACATGGCCTTCCAAAAATCCCCTGATGGGAAATAAATAAATAAATATATCAATCCAAGACGTCATTTTTTTCTTAGTTAGGAAAACATGTTTTCCTTGTTTGCTGACCCTCTAGCATTTTGGAGCTTGGGGAGTTGACTGGGTGCCTAGTGTCCATGAACGTTTGCAAGTTCATCACCCTGACCTTCTTGGCTGTTAAATCTTAACACTGGTTGCTGGAAAGTGTTTTAACTTTAAAAAAAAAAATCTTTGCTTTTTTTTTCCCCCAAACACCCTCATCATAGAGCTCATACTTTGGGACTATGTGTAAGGTTTTGTCAGGTAGACTACAGATTTCCACGCAGACAGCCAGAGTTTTCTTTTTCCCATGGACTCCCTGGAATTCACCTGAAAACTTACTGATTATTTATGTTCTAGCGTACTTTCAGGAAAGCCATCCAGGACTTTATATCCCAGGAAAACTGACAAATCTAATCAATTCTTGAGATACAGTTCTGTAAAGTCTTATTCATTTGGATGCCATCAGTTCAGAATTTTTGGATAATTCAGACAGTCTGGATAGAAGTTTCCTTTTGCACAGCTCTACAAAAATAGTTTCTTAACAAATTGATAATGCAAAGCAGACTGTCGGAGCGGAGAATGAACTGTCATCAAGTCCTTCAGAATAGCATTCACTGAGAAGCAGTCAATGGTTAGTTACAAATTATTTTTATCAAATAATTAAGGTGAATCCCAGGCAATCCACCCTATCTTAGGAAGAGCATGGTACAGGGGCAAAAATATGGCTTTCATTGTGTCCAGGCATGGGCTCAAATTCCAGCTATGCAACTCGTGAGCTTAAATTACTGTGCAGAAGCCGCTTGACTTCTCTGAGTCTTAACTCTGACATAAGGGAAAGTTTGTGGGACGGACATGAAAATTGGAACTCACATAGGAAAAGACAAAGTTTCCTAAACTATGCTCAGAAGGACTTTAAGTCTATAAGACGTTAACACTTACTGCATGAAAAAGGGATCCATGGTTTAAGAAGTTTGGGATAAGCTAGGCTAAACAAAATTAAATGTGTTTGCATGCTTGCTTTGTTTGTTTATGTGCAGGCCTTCTCAGAGCCTTTGATATTATGCTTTATATTGTGAATCTCCAAAAGAAGGTTATCAGTTTTCCTCCTAGGGAACTATGATAAATATGGCAGTCATTATCCACAAATTGAGGGGCATCTATAAGGAACTGGGGATAGTATTAAAGGGTGGATCCAAAAGTGTAAAGATTAGTCCCTACACTAATAAAATTGAAAATGGAATTGGTAAGACAGGACTGGTCCTTGGCAAACCCAACAGGAAGGCAGAGGGCAGGAAAGTCCATTGATGTGTCTCTATAAGTCAGTTTCCAGACGCAGAGCAGGGCGGGGAAGGGTGGAGGGTGACCTAAGGGAAAAGCAGAAAATATTTGGGATTGAGACACTGTTTTAGAAAGAGTTGTCAGGATGATCCCTATGAGAAAGCGATGTTAGAGGGAAGACTTGAATGAGAGGCACCAATGAACTTTGCAGAGATGTGGGGAAAGAACATTTCAGGGAACGCCACTTTGGGATCTTAGGAGAAATTCATAGGGCATGATGAAATAGAGGGAAAGAAGGTCAGTTGTGGGGATGCGTGAATGAGGTGAAGAGTGTCAGCAAGTGAGGTCTAGGGGCCTTGAGAATAAGAAATTCATTTTAAAAAGAGAGAAATGTCTGATGCTTATAGCTGCAGAGAATGAAACAGAAGCCCCCCCACCCCCACCCCCAACAATTGAATAAATGGAGGGTAGAATGGTATTGGCAAAATAAATGATTCAAAAAATGACACAGAGGCAGGAATTCACCTTGCAGGTTGGGGCAACTGGAGGGGAACCCATCCATGGATGATGTAAACCATTTCTTCCAAACCTCCTCCCTTCTTTCTTTCCTTCCTTTCGAATAGCTTTATTGAGAAATAATGTACATATGATGAAATTTACCCACTGAAAGTATACAACTAAATGGATTTTAGTATATTTATGGAGTTGTGCAACCATCACCACAGTCAAACTTTCCCATCACCTTGGAAAGAAACCTCGTGCCCATTACAGTTATTTCCCATTCCCACTCCAGTCCCAGGCAAACACTTCTCTACTCCGTGTCTAGAAATTTGCCTTTTCTGGACATTTAAATAAATGAAATCATAGAATATGTGGTCTTTTACATCTGGCTTCTTCTACCTAACATCATGCGTTTGAGGTTCATCCATGTTGTAGCGTGTTTCAGTGCTTCCTTCCTTTTTATTACCCACTAGCGTTCCATTGCACGGCTAAGCCACGTTTTATTTATCAGATCACCAGTTGGTGGACATTTGAGTTCTTTTCACTTATTGGCTATTACAAACATCCATGTACAAATTTTATGTGGATGAATGTTTTCATTTTTTTTTTTTTGATTAATGCCTATGAGTGGAATTTCTGGGTCATGTGGTAAGTCTATGTTCAACGATTTGAGAAACTGCCACACTGTTTTTCAAAGCAGCTGCACCATCAACTCTTTTTCTTAATTTGTGAAATGTGTGAGTCTTCATCTTTGTCCTCGGCTGATTGGAGCAAACAGGAGCACATGATCTAAATTGGACCAATCAGTTTTTCCTTCCTAAGATCTTCTTATGAGGACATACTGATGGATGTATGTTTGTGTCTACAGTAGTTTGAATAATAGACATGTGCAAGTGACATAGAAAAGCTGACCACAAAGACAGGAAGTTGACCTATAGAGAGAGAAACAGAGATGACAAGCCACATGAAACCAGGAGAGGTGGACAAAGTAGTCTCAGGTCCTGGGTTTCTGGGTTCCTGGTTCCAGGCCCTGATGAGGCCTATCATGCACCTTTGACCTTGTCATCTTCAACATATCCCAATGCCCTGTAATACATTCCATTTTTTGTATGATTTATGGTAAATTTTTGCTTCCAACAACTAAAAATTCCTTAACTAACTCAAAACATTTTGCCTATAGCAATGACCGGGTAGAAGAATAAAATAGGCTTAACACTTAAACTATAACAACACAAGCATTTATAAGGTACATACCATGTGTTCAGCACTATATGAGTGCAATATGTCCTGGCCTTCAAATAGCACACAGTACGGTCATTAAAGTTCTAGCAAACTGTTACAGAAGAAATACAGACGAGCATAAAGCAGATGAACAATTTTTTTAATAGAGAGCTTTTTAAAAATGTTCAGGCTGGGTGTGGTGGCTCACGCCTGTAATCCCAGCACTTTGGGAGGCCGAGGCAGGTGGATCACGAGGTCAGGAGATTGAGACCATCCTGGCTAACATGGTGAAACCCCGTCTCTACTAAAAATAAAAAATAAAATAATAGCTGGGCTTGGTGGCAGGCGCCTGTAGTCCCAGCTACTCGGGAGGCTGAGGCAGGAGAATGGCATGAACCCGGGAGGTGGAGCTTGCAGTGAGCCGAGTTCACGCCACTGCACTCCAGCCTGGGTGACAGAGGGAGACTCCATCTCAAAAAAAAAAAAAAAAAAAAAAAAAGTTGTTCAAGTAGGTCCTTGTACAATTTGATGGAAAAAAAGTAATGTAATGAAAAGCTGCCAAGATTATGGAGTTAAAACTCCTTAGGTGCTGAAAGAGCTTGAAATAAAAGACATCCCTTAAGTACCAAGCATTATAATTATATGCTCCTTTAAAGAACCACAGTCAGTTCTCCTGGTGACTAGTCTTGATCGTCTGTCAAGAACTGGAGATGGAGAAGTCGCACGAATGTTGGGCAGCAGTGTCTAATTCTGGGGCCATCTTGTGGCTTACTTTCTTAGGTTCCCCCAGGAGCCTATCTGTGTCATAACAAAGACTTCATCAGAAATTGCTTCCTTGATTCTCCCAAAACTTACCAGGAAGGAGAAGATAGAAAAGAAAAAATAGTCTCAGTGAAGGTAATATATGAAAGATCATGGGGAAGGAAATACAGCAGATAAGTTTCTTTTTCCTTTCTTTCTTTCTTTGTTTTTTTGAGACAAGTTCTCACTCTATTGCTCAGGTTGCAGTGCAGTGGCTCAATCTCGGCTCACTCCAACCTCCACCTCCTGGGTTCAAGCAATTCTCCTGCCTCAGCCTCCGGAGTAGCTGGGACTACAGGCACATGCCATCACACCTGGTTAATTTTTGTATTTTTAGTAGAGACAGGGTTTTGTCATGTTGGCCAGGCTGATCGTGAACTCCTGGCGTTATGTGATCCAACTGACTTGGTCTTCCAAAGTGCTAGGATTACAGGTGTGAGCCACCATGCCCGGCCAAAAGTGAGACCCTCTGGGGTAAATTTCTTAATTAAAGGGTCTACATGTTTTCTGTTATTTGTTTGGTTTCTCAATAGAAGATAAGCCCCAGGAGGGTAGGAACCGTGTCTGGAGTGGTCACCATTGAATCAATATTCTTCTAGAACAGTATTGGGTGTATAGTAGAGAGTCCATTACTACTTGTTGAATAGATGAGTGAAGTAAAGTACAGTATTTCTTACTTCCTTATTTCTCAGTTGATGTCAACTTAAGATCTTGCCAGGAGGTACACAATACAAGAAAAATATTTCAGGTGATAAACTATGGAATCTCTGACAACATGTGAAAGACCCAGGGGAGCCTCTCACATGAGATGCCAGATTTCAGCAACTGCAGTGAAGCCTAGAAATGAAAAAATATTGCATTTCATGTATGCATGTATATTCCTTTGTTCATCCCATTGTCATTGAATGTGCTGGGTTCATGCTACAACCAGAGATGATTCAGTTGGTACCTCATTTACAGCAGAAAGAACAGACTTGTGAAATGGTCTTTCTTCAGTGACTTACTACACTCTAGCCCAGCACTGTACAGTAGAAATCTAAGGAAACCCACGTTTGTAATTTTAAATTTTCTACCAGTCTGGACAACATGCAAGAACCCCGTCTCTACCAAAAAAGTTACAAAAATTAGCTAGGCATGGTGGTGTGCATCTGTAGTCCCAACTACTTAGGAGGCTGAGGTGGGAGAATCACTTGAGCATGGGAGATGGAGGTTGCTGTGAGCCAAGATCGCATCACTGTACTCCATACTGGGCGACAGAGCAAGACCCTGTCTCAACAATAATTAATAAATAAATAAATAAATAAATAAATAAATTTTCTAGTAGTCACATTTTAAAAAGTGAAAAGTAACAGAATTAGTTTAAATAATATATTTAAGTGATTTTAACCAAAATATTATCCTTTCATCACGTAATAGACATAAAACTTATCAGTGAGACACTTTACATTTTTTTGCATCCTAAGTTTTTAAAATCTAGTGCATATCTTATGCCAATAACACATCACATGTGGATGCTCAAGTTTGTTGAAAATTCTTGATTTATATTTAGAATTCAGAAAATTTACAGTCAAAAAGACTTTAAAAGCCTTCCAATAGCTGAATCATGTCAGGGTTTTCTGTTTTGTTTTGTTTTGTTTTGTTCTGTTTTTGAGATGGAGTCTCGCTCTATCGCCCAGGCTGGAGTGCAGTGGTGCGATCTTGGCTCACTGCAAACTCCGCCTCCCGAGTTCACACCATTCTCCTGCCTCAGCCTCCCGAGTAGCTGGGACTACAGGCTCCCGCTACCACGCCCGGCTAATTTTTTGTATTTTTAGTAGAGACGGGGTTTCACCATGTTAGCCAGGATGGTCTCGATCTCCTGACCTCATGATCCGCCCGCCTCGGCCTCCCAAAGTGCTGGGATTACAGGCGTGAGCCATTGCGCCCGGCCAGAACCCTGGCTTTTAACAGTCCAGAGTTATGTCCTGGCTGAAAACCTAATTCTCTCAGTCCTTTTATAGCCAAGAGCAGCCATCAGACTGAGTTTTCATCAATAAAGTTTTGCATAGAAGTGTCGTGTGTTATTTCTAGGATGTTGTTGTAGAGGGAAAGGGTCTTCTGCTTTTCTCCTTCCTGCTGTTCTGGATGCAGGTGACATGCTAAGATTGGCAGATCAGGACATTATGCAGCACCTTGGTTCCCGATGAGTGAGAAACTTCATGTGAGAGCAGCGGTAGGCAGTCATTTCCAGTCTTCTTCCACTACAGAACCAGCTTGCCAAGGACCACCTCTTGGGACTATCGTTCTGTGAAACAGAGTTTGAGAAATATATTTTAGGTGATCTGGAAGGCATGATGAGGTGGTTAGTGGCTGAGATTCAGTGAAATCCATCTATAAACTGTGGGTGAGGCTTCTGACCTTTCGGGATGTTGGAGGAATGGTGAGATTTCAGCAGGGGCAATGGTCACCTCGCAGCCTCACGGCTGGGCCCAGTCATCAGTCTGTGAGGTCAAGGGGACCGTAGGTGGTTTGGTGGCCAACAGCAGTGACTGCTTCAACATATGGCGTGGGTTTATAGTTTTTCTGCCATGCAGCTGCATGTTTATTGTGGTTCTCCTGCTGATTGTCAATTGACATTAGACACTAAAGAATGTTCCAGTGCCTCTCAAATGTATCGTGGCTTCTCATAAACTTTTGTTTGTTGTGGCTGAAACATGGGACGATGAGACCTTTTTCAGCCTGTATTTTTGGAGCAGCTGTTTGATGTTTGTAAGAGAACATTTCTTTGTGTGCTTTAAACCACCATAGATGGGAGTAAAGTCAAGATGTGACTCCTTACTGCACTTCAGAGAAATTTTATCATGGCTTTGATTAACATTTTTCTTAAACTCTCTACCAAAACTTGGTACCTCAAGCCAAGCAAGTTGGAATTATTCACAGAGAGGAAAGCATCTTTAATCCCCAACTAGGTTACGGTATCCTTATAAAAGAATTAAAGTAGGCATTATTCCAGAGACTCACATGAATTTTCATTATCGTAGCCCAGCACAGAGCTTAAGCAATTCTATGCTACTAGAGTTATTTCTTTATCCTGCAGCACAAGCCAAAAATTGGGTCCCTTGATTTGCTGACCGAGGATAGCATTTAGAAGAAATGAAATAGATCCATTGGCCTCCTGTGGCTGCCAGGCCAAGTGGGAATTGAGGTTATAAAACCTTATATGAATATGATATTATCAATAAATGAGAATTACTATTGTTAAGAGTTATTGCGATGATTTTCAAATAACCCTGACAATTATATGTTTCTAATGCTAAGAACAGATAAATTCCATTAGCAGCTTCCCATAAGCATGATGCTAAGTGCTTTACACAAATAATCTCAAACCTCCCAATAATCCTAGGAGGTAGGAATTGTTATTAATGGCATTTCATGGAAGAGGAAAGTGAGGATCAGAAAAATTAAGTAATTGCCCAAGGACATACAGCTGAGACTGGTGTCCAACCTAAGGCTCCTAGACTCTCAGGATCATGAGCTTAATACATTATTCTGCAATTACTGCTTAACAGCTACTATACAATGAAGTAATGAGACTGCTACTTCTTTTTTTTTTTTTTTTTTTTTTGAGATGGGGTCTCACACTGTCGCCCAGGCTGGAGTGCAGTGGCACGATCTCAGCTCACTGCAACCTCCACCTCCCTGGTTCAAGCAATTCCCTTGCCTCAGCCTCCCGAGTAGCTGGGATTACAGGCGTGCCACCATGCCCGGCTAATTTTTTTGTATTTTCAGTAGAGGCGGGGTTTCACCATGTTGGCCAGGCTGGTCTCAAACTCCTGACCTCAGGCAATGTGCCCACCTCGGCCTCTCAAAATGCTGGGATTACAGGTGTGAGCCACAGCGCCTGGTTGAGATTGCTACTTCTTCAGTGACCATGTTTACTATGACTCCATGGGGAAAGCATTTGGGAAGATATTTTTTCTGAATGCATTAAAGAAATGTATTGCTGGACTTTCTTTTTCTCATCCTTAAAACAGGATGCTGACTTCAACAGTGTGTGGTGAGGATTAATGAGGCAGTGAATGAGAAGGATTCAGAGAGATGGTGGTAGGAGCCAAAGTCTCGGCTAGTGGGATTTGAAATGGTGGGCTTTTAAATTTTCTCATCGGCGCTAGTTCTTTCAGTGTACATTTGGTTTTGATTCAAAAAAGAAAAAAAATAGATTTTCAAAATGGAACCCAAGACTGTTCAACTCAACGATTCCCATACCATTGCAGCCTCTGCAAATGAAGTTGGTGGTCGCAGTTAGTCATGATTAATTCTGTTAGCCATGCACGTGTCTTAAAAACACAACTGCCAAATTTTGTGAGCTGAGAAGTTCTCAGTTCCCGCCCACAGGCATGCATATGTAGGGATTCCAAAGAGGGTTTCCAGGCATGGCTGAAACTTCTCACATGGGGCTACTCTTGTAGTTGGGAATGAGGCTAGGCCAATCCATCCTGGGTCTTCAGGAAGCATCTTGGCTTTCCAAGTCTTGGGCAATATTAGCCAAGAATTGTTTATCTGTTTTGATTTTTGCACTCTTTCCAAGTCGAGGACATCTGTGAAGTGTTTTCTTGATTGCAAATAGGGACCCTCTTTAGTTTGCTTGTGTGTGTTTGTTTTTTGTTTTGTTTTGTTTTGCTCCATCTAGAAGAATCACCAAAGAGAATAAAGGTACTATTGAGGGAAGAAGCTCACCTGACAAAAAATAAAATAAGGAAAATAACAGGAGTGTCTCTGTATTTATAATGTTGCTGCCAAAGGCCATGTGTGCATTATTGGATGTTAGGAGCTGGTGTAACATTGAGGGGGAAAAAAACAAAAACCACAGACTAAAGTCAGACTATGTTGTGTTAAACTCCTGGCTCTGCTCTTTACAGCTGTGTGACTATGAGTTAGTTACTTAACCTTTCTGAGCCTCAGTGGCCTTTTCCGCAAATTGAGAAGAAATGTGGTACATAATAATCATAGGCTATATTTGTTGGATGTTTATTATGTGCCTTTAACTCATTTAATTCTCAGAACAAGTCTTTCAGCTCAGTAATGCTATGCCATTTCAAAGAAAATCAAGGTTCAGAGATGCGATACCAGGAAAGGACTCCTATGCTGTCTGACTCTGGGGAATAAGTGCTTGCCTAATCACGGAGTTAACACATAAGGTTGCTCTGAGAATTCACTGAGAAGATTCACATAAAATGCAGCCTCCTAACCAAAAGTATAGGCAACAAAAGCAAAAATAGACAAGTGAACCTACATCAAACTAAGAAGCTTCTGCACAGCAAAGGAAACAAGCCACAAAATGCAAAGGCAATCTATAGAACGGGAGAACATGTTTGCAAGCCATTTATATGATAAAGAGTTAACAATCCAAAATATATAAGGAATTCCTACCCTGTGTAACAAAAATCAAATAAACTAATTAAAAAGTGGGCAAAGGACTGTACAGACATTTCTCAAGAGAAGACATTCAAATGGCTAACAGGTTTGTGAAAAGCTGTGCAATATCACTAATCAGAATCAAAACCATGATGAGATATCACCTCACACCTTTTACAATGGCTATGATAAAAAAGACAGAAGCTAACAAATGTTGGTGTGAATATGTATGCTGCTGAGGGAAATGTACACTGATACAGCCATTATGAGAACAGTATGAAAGTTTCTTAAAAAATTAAAAATCAAACTATTATATGATCCAGTAACCCCACTTTCAGGTATTACTCAAAAGAAATGCAATCAATACTTCAAAGAGAAATCTGCATTCTCGTGTTCATTGCAGCATTATTCAAAATAGCCAAGATATGGAAGCAATGTAAATGCCCATAGACAGATGAATGGATAAAAAAAAATGTGGTACAGATACACAACGAAATATTATTCAGCCTTGCAAAAGAAGAAAATCCTGCCATTTTCAATAACATGAATGAAACTAGAGGACATTATGCTAAGTGACATAAGCCGGGCACAGTAGGACAAATACTACACCATCCCACTTATACAAATAACCTAAAGCAATCAAATTCATAGAAGTACAAAGTAGAATGCTGGCTGCCCAAGCTGGGGGATGGAGGAATGGGTGGAAAATGGGGAGTAATTATTAAAGAGTAAAAAGTTTTAGCTGTGCAAGATGAGTAAGTCTTAAAGAACTACTATATAGCATAGTGTCTATAATTAGCAATACTGTATTGTATATTTTTTAATTTGGTAAGAATAAAAACTTATGTTAAGTGTTCTTATCATAATAATAATAATAATAAAGAAGGTGGGAGGAAACTTTAATAGGTGATGAATATGTTTACCACATAGATGGTGATGGTTTCACATACATATCTCCAAACCCATCAAGCTGTATGCATTAGATATCCACAGCTTTTTGTAGGTCAATTATACTTCCATAAAGTGGATTTTTAAAATTCCCTTATTTAAGCCCTAAAATTTAAAAAAGAACAGAAAAAATACCTGTTACCTCCTGGGCATGACATACTTAATTAAAATAGATTTATGGATATATAGATAGAGTGATTGAAAAAATACACACGCACAAAGAAACTTCCACCTCTCAGAGCTAAGGGAAAAAAAGGAAGGTGAGCAGAAAGGAATTTTCAGATAATGAGAGCTTACCATTACAATGAAACCATTGATATCCAACATTGAAGGGTCCAGAGGGGGAAGAGATTTGACAGAATGTGATCAATGTGGGAAAAGATGAATAAAGCCTCTATTCTCCCTAAGACCGCAGCCACTGAGGCATCAGGATGTTACATGGGAACATCAGCTTCCAGTAGGCCAACAGGTCAGGACTGTCAGGAAATACCTGTGGGTCCAACTAACAGGAATGTGGAGAATCTTCCATGTTAGAGCCAGTGACAATGAAAAACTATAAAGCATCAATAGACCCTTGGAGCTGAGCCCTGGAATTGATCTCTTCTTATTACAAATTTTCAAAAGGTAGTTCCACTTGCAGCTTTGTAGGTACTACACCATTTATTGAGCCACTGCTATTTCAGAGTCCTGACTTAGGTGCCGTGGGAAATAGGAACATAGCTGTCACCACCATGGAACTTGTAATAAAAGTGGAGACAATTTAAAATCCATGTGGTAGAATTAAAAGTAAGATTGAAATAAAGGTAAATTGCAAAGCATATGAATGACAAAACATCACGTCCACATAAATGCCATGAAAACATAAAAAGTATTGAACCAAAGTTCTGATTATCTGAAACCATCAATTGACTGGAATTCCTTTCTTCTATTTCACTTTTAGGAAAAATGAATGGATCAAAAAAATAAATAAAACTGGATTCAGAAATTTAGTCAAAAGGACAGCTCAGGGCATAGTCAAATTTACCACCAGAACATTTCAACTTCATTTCTGGATATCTTTTATTTACTTTCACTAGACTGCCAATTTCATGAGGTTGGGGCCACATTTTTCTGTTTGTTGCTGCATCCCTAGAGTCTAACAGAGTGCATGACACTTAGTAAGAGTGCAATAAATATTGGCAGGATAAATGCTGACCCCCAAGTGTCCCCCAGGTACTCAATCACCAAAGGAAGATTTCAATTGTGATCATCACCGGCCAAGAAAGAAGATGCAATAATTTTATAAAGATTTTCAAAAATGAGGTGTGGTAGATTAAAGCTGACCACAAATTCTTTGCTAATCCTCTCATTGAGAAATGCAACCTAATTCCTTCCCTTAGAATCTTAACTGACTTTAGTGACTTGGTTGACCAATGGAATGTGGCAGAAGGGACGTTCTCAAACTTCTGAGACTAAGTCATAAAAGGACTTTTGAGTTCCACGTGGGCCTCTAGAGAAAATGTTCCTTTTTCTGTGAGGCTTCGGCTGCCATGGAAGAAGCTCAAGTACACTGGGGTCTCTGTGCTTGGGAGAGGCCATCTGTAGGCAGCCCAGTTAAGTCTTCACTGAACTGGGTTTTAGCCAGGTCCTCCAAGTCCCTACAAGGCACCAGAGTTCAGAAAATTATTTCTGTAAAAGGCCAGATAGTAAATATTTGAAGCTTGGAAGGCCATATAGTCTCTGTCATGACCAATCAACTCTGCTGTTCTAACATGAAAGTAGCCACAATGCATGAATAAATGAGTGTGGCTGTGTTTCAATAAAATTTCATTTACAAAAACAGATGCCAGATTGGATTTTGCCTGAAGACCATAGTTTGCTGACCTCTGCTCTAGACCAGCCCAAGTGCCCTCTGCTAATATTGCATGGAACAGAAGAATCATCTAGCTGAACCCTGCCCAAATTCCTAACCTGCAAAATTATAAGTTACAATGAAACAGTTGTTGTTTTAAGCCACTAAGTTTGGGGCAGTTTGCTATACAGCAACAAATAATGAGAACAAAAGAGCTGGAACCAAAAAAAGTTTGGGGTAAGGAAGGTAGGGATAACTCTCACTCCATTCCCCATAAGCACTACAGTTGCTACACATGAGCACTGAGAAGAAAATACAGGCATAATCACCCGGGACTGGATTATAAGGTGAGACTATCCAGAAGTAAAGAGATTTGAGCTAAGAGTTAAAGAGGATGTTGCAGATGGGGGAAGGACAATAAGAAGAGGGGTAAAGCACTGGCAGTGTTGGCAGGACACCCTTGTTGTACCACTCCAGGGACACTGTTCCTGTTGTAGTTCATGTGAATAGAGCCACCTGGAGATGGTCATCATGGTAGCCTTGGTTAAGACAGATCAAGAGGCAGTCTAAACAAGCTTTGGAGTCAGATGGACCTGGGTTCACAACCTGGCTCTATCTCTTACTAAATGCATGATCATAAGCAAGCTATTTAACCTCTCTGAAGCTCACATTCCACATTTCAATAATACACTTCTATGTAAGTAAAATTTCTGGTATATAATAAGTCTTCAATAATATAGCTTTAATATATATATGTAAATATATAGATGTGTGTGTGTGTTTATGTACACAAACATATTTATAAACAAACAGAAAACCTACAGGGGCAGTGGAGTAGAGTGTGATTGAAAGCAAAGGTTTTCCAATGCATTTGTTGGTAAAAGTCATCAAATGTGCATGGAGCCCTTGCTCAAAAATTGTGAGAAACTTTAACATATTATCTTAAATACATGTCAATGTATTTAAGAATCACTTTGGGGTCTTTGTTGAAATGGATACCTGCCTCCTCCCCCAAGAGATTCTGATTCAGCAGGCCTGAACTTGGATCCAGGGATTTGAGTTGTCGACAAGTACCAAAGGTTTTGCCAATCCAGAGAGTCATCTGACCACACTTTGAGAAACTTCTTTCTGTAAGCCTCACAACATGAAGAACAAGCTCAAAGACGTCAGGTGGCTCACCCAAAGTCACCCAGTTGCACAATGCAGAGGTGGGTGTCTTGCTCCCTGTTCCATCCTCTTGGCCCTATCAAACACCTACCTACAAACCAGGTATGATGGCCATTGCTATTTTTACTGTGTCCCCAGGTTCCCACTTAAAGGCCTGGCATTGAGCAGCTGCTCTGTGAATATTGGCTGAATAGAACTGAATCAAAGTAAATCAAATGTCAGAGTTGAAAAGAGTTTGGGAATCTTCCAATCCAATCATCCCATTGTACAGATGGAAAAACTGAGATTAAGATCGTAGAAGGTGGTAGTCCTCATCCACACAGAGAACAAAGGCCTGGATTCTTAGCTTAGCATGCTTTGCTCTCCTCCATTTGGGACTTTGCACAAAAATGACATGCTAAATAAATGTGGCATGCATTCTGGTCAGTGGTAAACTGAAGCCAAGAGTGATCAAATCCCACCTAGATCCCATGACACTATAAATCTCAGCATTATGTTAAACGTGGTGGGTAGCAGAATTACCAAAATAATCGTGAAATCAGTCCTTTCTTGGTCTGGCAAAATTGCTCTCAACCTGTCACTCTATTATTCCATGTTATGGCCCTTGGATCAGTCTAAACAATCCCCCTTCTATAATTAAAAAAAATATTCCGTTGCTAATGTCCCCAGCTCCCTTTAGTGAAGGGAGCAGCTGCCAGGTGGGATAATGGAATGCCGGACATGTGAGATAGCAGGGCCAACAGCACAATGAGCTATTACGAGTTCCGTTTATTTTGCTTGGACAACAATTCTTAGAAAAAGGGAATTAAAGGCTGGAGTCTACACCCTCTAAACTTTTCTGGACAATGCATGAACTATCTCTTTTTACACAAAGGGTTGTTTTGTCATCTGTTTGGGCTCGTAATTACAGCTCCCGCACTTCACGAGCAAGGGAAACTTGAGCAAATAACTTAGCCTGTGTGTACCTCAACTTCCTCAAATGTAAAATGGGGGTGAAATAATAGCATCTACTTCTTGGGATAGGAAGATGGAAAGGAATAATTTACGTGAAGTTCTTGGCCCAGAGGAAGTGCTCAGTAAATGTTTACGTGTGGTGCCATTTGCAGTTAACAGCCTGACAATGGAGTTTTCATTTAGTTCTTTGTGTTGTAGACTCTTCTACAACCCGAAGACTCTTCATTTAGTTCTTCTTTGAGCCTATACACTCTCCAGCATAGTTTCCATGTAGCTGGGTTTAAGAAAGTTGATTTGGGTTATGTCTTACTAAGGGCCCATAAAACAATCACAGCGTGAGAATGGAAGGTAAAGTTCTCTCTTGAAACCAAAAACGTGAGACTTCTTTGCTTTTATTTCCCTTCAGGGCACCCATAATGTTTTCTGTTTAAAGGTGGGTGAAACTGGGAGAAGTTATCAGGAAAGCCAAGAAGCCAACAAGGCAACTCTCTTCCAACAGAGAACAGAAAACCCCAACACGTGTCCCCAAATTGTTCTCTCAGAATGCTAAGGTGGGAGGGGACTGTGGGTTGATCCAGTTTGGTAATCTCCAAACCTGGCCTTGCTTAAGAATCTCCTGGGGAAGCCTGCAAAAAATACAGATTCATAGGCCTTGGCTTGTAGATTCTGACTGAATAAGGCTAGGGTCTAGGAATCCGTATTATAACACCCTTTTCCCCAGGTGATTCTCACGTAGAAATGCTAAAGATGGAATTTGGGAACCACTGATCCAGCTTAATTGTAACAGATGGAGAAACCGAGGCTCAGGGAAATAAATGATGTCTCTAAGGCCAGCCAGTGTCAGAGATGGGTCTCTAATCCAGGCTTCTGATTCAGCTACACTACACCCCTTGGAAATATTTCTAGGGGAATCTAGTGTATTTTCTCAGGTTGGCGTTGTCATTAGACCACACATGGAGAATCTCAGCCCCTTCTCTTCAATCTCTAGGTCTCAGAGAACCATGAGGCATCCTCTGGGAGACCAGTTGGGAATCAGTCGTTTAATATTTCCCCATTGTTCCCAGGGGTACCTTCTCCCACACCCTTATCTTCCCCCTTGCCCAAGCAGAGTTCACAAAATAGGTAGCTAAAACCAAACTGAGGAATAGAAGCATTCTGCAAGTTTGTAGAAACAGCCATTAAAACCATTAGCAAAACATTGACACCAGCCTGACTGGGAATTATTCTTTTTTTTTTTTTTTTTTTTTTTGGAAGACTGGAATGGTTTTAACATCTCTGATTGCAACAACTGATCTGGGGACACAAGCCTGGTATTTAACTCTGCATCTGCTGGTGCAGCAGCTCTGTCAAATGGCCCCTCAATGGCTGGGCACCACTCAATGCTATCAAGATCTTTAATCTTGAAAAGCCACAAGATAGGACCCTTTCCCCATTTTTGTTGCATGTGGTTACCCAGGACTTAGGAGCAAATGGATTAATGTTTCAAAGCCTTCTGAGATATTTGGATACATACACCTGATAGTCTAGATTCTGGGGGCTCAGGAGACAGAGTTTATGCGCACATGCTTTATGGGGCAGACTTTGCTACGGCCCTGATAATGGAGGTTCCACTTATGGCAGGAAATAAGATTGTATACAGAAACCCCAAGATGAGGAGAGTATCTGGTAACAGGCCATTCTCCAAGCAAGGCTGGTATTCCAGTAGATAGGCTGGGAGAAAAGCACAGAGTGAGAGCATGACCTTTCTCTTGTCTGTTTGTTGACCTAACCTAACACCTTGGTAATGAAGGGACACTATTACTTAATGCTTAATGGGTATTTAGCAAAGTTCAACTCACATCTCTGTCCATTCATCAGGGAGCTTTCAATTCCTAAGGAAGAAAGCAAGGAAAAGTGAGATCAACCTTGCAGTCAGGAGACAGATAGGCCTGAATTTGGTTGTGAAGTCATTTACCAGCTGTGTGGCCTTGGCCAAGTTGCTAAACTTCTCTGAGCCTCAATTTCTTCATTTATAAAATGGGGGAGGCGGAGGTTGCAGTGAGACGAGATCATGCCGCTGTACTCCAGCCTGGGCAACAGACCCAGACCCTATTTCAAAATAATAATAGTAATAATTAATAATAATAGTGCCTAGGAGTGTAATTAGTGATGTAATATATGGAAGCACTCAATAAATGGTAGTTGTTGCTGAGGCTGTAGCAGTTATTATTTGGATGGTTCAAGATTCCAACGTATCAGATTCTCATCCCCTAGAAAAAGGGAACCTGAGGCTGCTGAAAGCCAGGGCTATTCCCCAAAGGTTTGATTAGTTCTTTAGCTAGGACCTCCATGTTTGCAAGAGACAGAAACCCAACTCAATGGGTTTAAGGAAATAAAAATAATTTATTGATTCACATAATTTAAAAGTCTAGGGGTGGAGTTGTCTGCTTTCAGGTATGATTGAATTCAGGTACTCAAATGATATCATCAAGCTTTAGTTTCTCTCCCCATCTTTTAGTTTTATTTTCTACTGGATTGAATTTATTCTCAAGATGGCAGCTTCATCCTTATAGCCCACTAGCCTGGCAAACCCAGCAGAAAGAGAACTCCAGTTGTCCAATAGTTTCAGTGAAAACCCAGGGGCCTCCCCTCATTGGCTCTGACTGTGGCAACTTAGATTATGTGCTCAGCTTTGCACCGATCACCATGGCCATAGGGAAGTGGAACTCTTATTGGTTAGGCTGAGTCACGTGATTCTGCCCGATTACTGAGACTGTACCTAAAGTCAAATGGGCGAAGAATGGCATAGGGAGCATCCCCTGCAAAGTGCTGAGATTACAGGTGTGAGCCACTGCACCTGGCCTCTGGTGAGGGCACTTATATATATATAACTTCCTGGAGGACAATTTAGCAACAGCTATCAAAATTCAAATGCACATACCCTTTAAGAATTCTAGGAATTTATCTTACAGTAAAGGGCAAAATAATCTATATACAAACACTGTTACTAATAGCAAATGATTGGAAACAATCTAAATATCCATTCACCAGGGGACTGGCTAAATAAATGATGGTACATACATACAATGGAATATTATAAAATGACAGCTGTAAAAAAGAATGAAGCAGCTCTTTATGTAATGATTTGGGATGAATTATAGCATATATTAAGTGAAAAAGGCAAGATGCAGAATAGTTACTACGGTGTGCTATTTATATTAAAAACTTGCAGGTATAGCAAAGAAAATTATTCATAATTGCTTTTAATAAGCATAAAAATTCTCTGGAAGGGCTGGGTATAGTGGCTCATGCCTGTAATCCCAGCACCTTGGGAGCCAAGGTAGGAGGCTGCTTGAGGCCAGGAGCTTGAGACCAGCCTGGGCAACAACGTGAGACCCTGTCTCTAAAAACATTTAAAACAAAATCTCTGTAAGGAAACTGATAAATGGTAATTACTTATGTGATCAGAAGGGAGCAAGACTTTTCACTGTATACAATTTTACACTTTTTGATTATTTAGCCATGTAAAATATATTGTCTGTTCAAAAATTAAATATTTTAAAAACAAGTTATATATATATAGTACAATCTTAATTAAAAAAAAACATAAATGCATAGAAAAAAGAAGAAAATATACCTAAATGTTAGAGTGGTTATTACTGCTCAGTGTTGGGTTATGGGTGATACTTACTTTCTTCTAAAGTCTTTTTCGTATTTTCTGAATTTTCAACAAAGAAAATATATTACTTATATATTCAGAAAAAAAAACGGCATAGGGAGCATCGTGGAAGGAGAATCAAGACAAAGAATGAGAGAATGAATTATGAAGAAACAAAAACAAGAGTTAAACCCTCTACAGTGAGCATTCAGGTAGGTGGGACAGCTCTCCCCCACACACGGAGGTAGTTCCTTAATCTTAGGCGCAGTGGGAGAAGCAGTGTTTGGAGGTCAGGCCAGGTCAGCATCAGATGGAGTTCTAACCCAATTCTTCAATCCTCTTCAAAGCCAGACTCAGCACGGGCTCTGATGGCACCAGTGGGAGAGATTAAAGGATGCAAAGGGCAGAGGAGCCAGTGCAGGACTCTGATTGTCTAGGCTTGTGTCATGTGACCATTTCTGTATTCAGAGGACTTACATACAAAGAATATTTACTTTTTGTATTTTTCAGAGTTCTCCAGAGAAACAGACCCAATAGGGCGTGTGTATGTGTATGTGTGCCTGTGCGTGTGAACAGGGAGGAATAGGGCTTCCCTTGCCCTGGTGGTGCAGCCTTCACTACAGTGCAGCCTTCATTGGTTTTCTCTCCTTCCGTATCTCACTTCCCCATCCCTGCGGTTGCTTCCCGGGATCACATCCCAAATAAACCACTTCAACCCAAATCCTGCCTCTGTGTCACCACCTTAAATCCAGCCATCCAGAAACACAATTTGGGTCATCCTATTCCCCCGTGTAAAACCCACCATTGCTCTCAGAAGAGCCCAGATTCTTCAACAGGGAATACAAGGTTCTCCAAGTTCTGGCCACTGCTAACAGTTTTGGCTTCATCTCCTGCTCACCCCCACAACCTCTCTATAGACTTCTTGGAGTCCCCTGAAAAACACCAGAGTGGAGCCTGCCTCCAAGCCTTTAAACACACTGCACTGTCTTCCAAAAACTCCCTTCCTGACCCCCATTTCCTCTGCCCCCGTCAGCCCCATTTGGATGAAATGAACTCTTTTCATTGAAGATGAACTCAAGAATTTTCTTGTCCTAAAATCTTTTCTAACACTGGCCTCCACCCCGAGGGTCAGAGATCTGCTCATTAGTATTTCAACTTTACCCTGCACATCTTGATTAGAATATTTTCCATGCTCCAGTGTACATGTATATCTTTCCCATTTAAAAAGGAGTTTTTTTTTTTTTTTTTTTAGACAGGGTCTTGCTTGGTTGCCCAGGCTGAAGTGTGGTGGCACGATCATGGCTCACTGTAGCCTTAACCTCCTGGCCCCAAGCAAACCTCCTACCTCAGCCTCCCAAGTAGATGGGACCACAGGTGGGTGCCACTTTCTTTGCAGAGGTGGGGCCTTGCTGTGTTGCCCAGGCTGGTCTCAAACTCTTGGGCTCAGGCGATCCTCCTGCCTCAGCCTCCCAAAGTGCTAGGATTACAGGTGTGAGCCACTATGCCCAGCCAAGGAGACTTTTGAAAGTCATGACAATACCTTATTCCATCCTCAGATTGTAGGACAGTAACTAGTATGTTACTAGCAATTACACAATGCTAGTTGGATGAATAAGGAAGTACTCTGAAGAACCCAGGAAATATTAACACCCACTCTCACCCCTTTGCCCATAACTCGCTTTCTAAGAAAGAAAAAAAAAACATATTTTAAAGGGGCTCTGAAGTTGATAGAATATTGATGTATTAAATGTGTACTGGTAAACTTTGGCCCAGTAGCTAGGAAGTTAATATAGTATAAGGATAATGAAAGATGTTTTGTAAACTGTTAAGTACCAAGGATATATTCAGTGGTGTTTTTATTACAAACAGCATCAACAGTTTAGGGAAACGAGAAAAGTAGGAACCAGGGTGCCTTGTTGAAGGTCTTTCAGGAAGTAAATAAGAAAGGCAGGATTATAATGAAGTTTCTGAATTTTGTCCCAACATTTTCTACATGTAAATAGGCATCTAAAACATGACCACTGATGTGTAAATAAAAGATAGTTCAAGCTTTTCCTGAAGTTTGGAGATAAGAGTCAGAATCTAATGAATCATAAGAGCAGCTCCCACTTAAGAGCCCTGATCCAGGCCCTTTGCAGACAGTATCTGTAAGCCTTATGACTGCTGTCTCATGAGTATTTTAACTCCAATTGACAGAAAGAAAACAGAAACTTAAAGGGGTTAAGTCACTTATCTGGAGAGAAGTTGAAGGCCATATATGGTGACTCATGCCTGTAATCCCAGCACTTTGGGAGGCCTAAACTGGAGGATTGCTAGAGGCCAGGAGTTTGAGACCAGCCTAGGCAGCATAGTAAGTGAGACCTCTGTCTCTACAAAAGAATTTAAAAAGGATCAGGCACCATGGCTCTCGTCTGTAATCTCAGCACTTTGGGAGGCCAAGGCGGGAGGACAGATTGAGACCAGGAGCTTGGGACCTGCCTGGGGCAACATAGTGAGATCCTGTCTTTACCAAAAAAAAAAAAAAAAAAAATTAACCAGGCATGGTGGTGCATGCCTGTAGTCCCAGCTACTCAGGAGGCTAAAGTGGGGGGATTGCTTGAGCCCGGGAGGTAAAGGCTGCAGTGAGCTGGGATTGTGCCACTGCACTCCAGCCTGGGTGATAGAGCAAGACTCTGTCTCAAAACATAAAAATAAAAACAAAAAAAATTTTTTAAAGAATTTTAAAAATAAACAAATAATAAAAAATAGAAAAAGGTTGAGCTCAGATTCAAACCTAGACATGGTTAATTCCAAAACCTTTCATCTCCTGCCTCACACGCTCTCAGAAAGAGAAGCTGACATTGCTAAGGAGTTCTGTGTGTCAGGCACTTGCTTACTGTAATCCTCATAACACTGCAAGGCGGCTTCAGTTATAATCTCCGCAGTTTTGCAGATGAGGAAACTGTTTCATGGGAGGTCAAAGGTCGAACAAGAATTTGGCTCCTTTGAACATGAGAGGCCATGTTCTTTCTATGCCTTCCTGTGTCTTAGTTCTGGCTGTTCATCAGAAAAAAACAAAGAGCTTTTGAAAAGCTATGAATCTCCAGACACCATCCTTTTAAAGCCTGATACAGTCATTGCCACCACAAAAAAAAACAAATGTGGAAACAAATTAGGTGGGTGAAGGCAGAAAGGAGAGGACTGTTTTCTTCAAGCCAAAGCACCACAGAGAAATCCAAAAGGGTTTCTGCAAATGTGCACCGCTTGTCCTGATACTGACAACTTTGCAGTTGAGGAAGTAGAAAACTCTAACCTCGAATGGGTATGGCTTACAAGACAGCAGAAAGGTAGAGTCATAAGAGAAAAAAAAAATTAAAAGTATGAGCTTACTTTAAGGTGGGGGTTTCATAAGTGGCTCTCTTGGAGTGGTTAAGTGATAGCACAGCCACACAAATAGCTACTTGGCAGCCTTGAAATGGGATGAATTTGTTTTAAAATTCATAGACATGGAAAGATGTCCAGGACATGGTAAACAAGCCAACAGTGAAACACCTCAAACAGTATGATCCTGTAAGTAAGTACAATAGGAACATACTACTGCACTTTTTAGAGCATAGTAGCATATACTGGTGGGGTGTAGTGGGTCACTCCTGTAATCCCAGCACTTTGGGAGGCCATGGTGAGCAGATCACCCGAGGTCAGGAGTTCAAGAGTAGCCTGGCTGTCTCTACTAAAAATAGAAAAATTAGCCAGGCACGGTGGCACATGCTTGTAATCCCAGCTACTCAGGAGTCTGAGGCAGGAGAATTGCTTGAACCTGGGAGGTGGAGGTTGCAGTGAGCCAAGATTGCACCACTGCACCCCAGCCTGGGCAACAGAGTGAGGCTCCATCTCAAAAAATAACAACAACAAAAAAAAACATTGTAGCATATACTATAGTACAATAGAGTATAGTACAGTGTGATGTAGTAGATACTATATGTGTGTGTATACAATATAAACGTATGATGTTCATATACATAGTAATCATTCTGTGTAAATACAGCAGGAAATAGTAACTATAGTAGCAATTGTACTGCATTTATTACGCATATATAGAAAATACGAATATATTATACATGAATATAGTATGATCCTGTTTGTTACATAGTTGGAATACACATAAATATATAGAAGGATGCTCAGCAAAATATTGATAGTGGTGGAGTTTGGAGGGATTTTTTTCTTTCCTTCCTTCCACAAGTATTTATTGAGTTCTAATTTGTACCAGACATATCTTTCTTCCTTATATCTTTTTTTAATTGCTTGAAAATTCTAAAAGCATGTCTTTATTTTTACCTCAAAGAACAGATAATTTGAAAATAAAATGGGCTCCTGTCAATATCCCCAATAACCACAGATGGAGACTTTGGTGACATTTTCGGGAGACCCAGGAGAAGTGAAAAGATAGGGAGAGGAGAGGCCAACATGGACTCCCCCTGCCTCCTCCTCCCTGCCTCCTCCTCCCTGCCTCTGCACACTAAGTTTTTTTCTTTTTTTTTTTTGGTCGGGGGTCACCATCTGTACATTTGTTCTGCACAAAAATAAAGCCATCCATCTCCCTTACGGTGGTGTCATGTAAGCTCAGGAAAAACCGCAGTGCACAAGGGGGGCCCTCGGTGGGAAAAACACTTATCTGCCTCGCCGAGTTCAGAGCTCCCCTGAAGGCGTCCTTCGCTAGACTCAGGGGGTGGGTTTTGTTTATTCCCCTGGCTCACAATGAAATGTCAGGAACACATGCTCAGGGTGAGGTGGGGCCCTACCGAGGTTAAAAATGGAACAGCGGCTTTGATCTCAGGCCAACACCAATGACGCTCGGGGTTGGGGCCAGAGGGAGACGTCATGTTCCCTCGCTGTGTCTCTGCAGAAGGCGCAGACATTCCCCTCCTGACTCCAAGAGCAGACACGGCCCCAGACTGGAAAATGGACGGGAGGCACCACGCAAGGAGTGAGGCCTGGGGAGCTGGGAGAAGCAGGCCTTCTGTGGGTGGAGTGGAGGGCCTTCTCTGCTGCAAGTGGGAAGCCTCCATCAAAAAGTTCACTATCTGATGGTGCCAGGACTTGGAATGGAATCTTCAGGGGTGGCTGGAGAGGGGGCAAAGGTCAGCAGGCCAAGGAATCTCTTCCCCCTTGTGAAGAATCTGTGGCCGCCATTTTGTACTCACCTCCCTAGACTCTTCCTGTGGTACTGAGAAGGCCTCTCTTTTCTCAACCAGCAAGTATATGTTGAGGGTCTGTTCTCCTCTAAAACTGGACTGAGTGCTGGAGATTGAACAGTGGAAACATCCAGGCTTGGTCCTTCTTTTCCTTAAGGTCTGGTGGGAAAGAGAGGTGTGGGACAGACCGTAGCAACATGGCAGGTTAAGAGTTCTAAGGAGGGCACATAGAGGGTGCAGGAGACCACACTGCGGGTGGTAACCTGGGCTTGGTGGGGGAGGGCAGGGAGGGAATCTTAGAGAAAGCTGGAGATATCTAAATTGAGGCCTGGAGAATAAAAATAAGAGCTCACTAGGTAAAAGAAGTGAGGGAAGAGTGCTCAAGTACAGGGGACAGCATCTGATCTCAAGAAAGGCAGAGTGTAGATGGGAAGACTTGAAAGAATGAAACACAGGTGTGAGGTGAGAGAGAGGGTGCAGTGCGTTTGAGTAAACATGAACTGGCTGCTCCCATTCTTACCTACTTTTACTACCAAGTTGTTCCACTGCTTCTCGGGGGGTTTGAGTGAAGAAATCTCCCTGCATTCGGGCTGCTATAATAAACCACTATAAATTGCACAGCTTATAAGCAACAGCAATTTATTTCTCACAGTTCTGGAGAACAGAAGTCCAAGATCAAGGTACCCCCAGATTCAGTGTTTGGTGAGGGCCACTTCCTGGTTTATAGACAGCCATCTTTTTGCTATACTTTCACTTGGCAGAAGGGACAAATGAGCTCCCTTGGGCCTCCTTAATAAAGGCACTAATCCTATTCATGAGTACTCTCCTCTCCCAACTTAATAACTTCCCAAAGGCCCTATGTCCTAATATTTTTACCTTGGGGCTTAGGATTTCAACATATGAATTTGGAGGGGACGCAAACTTTCAGACCATAGCAAAATCATTATTCTAATTAGAGTCAGCATTTTCATTGAGCATGCACTATGAGCCAATAACTCTTAAATATATGATCTCATTGCATTCTCACAAAAAACTCTTACCAATTTAATAATCTGAAGACTGGACACAGTGGCCTATAATCCCAGCTACTCAGGAGGCTGAGTCAGGAGGATTGCTTGAGGCTGGAAGTTCAAGACCAGCCTGGACAACATAGCAAGACCCTACCTCTATTCATCATCATCATTATCATCATCATCTGAAGGTCAAAGAAATTACTTAAACCCACCAAGGTTACATAGCAAGTGTATATATGTCAGGAGGTGGCAGGATTTGAAACTTGTGCTTTGAATACCACTTTTAGCACTTGTTCCATCTTAGTAGAGAAGGATTTTCTTACTCCGCTTTGGTGATTGAATCGCTTCCCAGATTAGAGATAAAAACTTCGTCGGTCAACTGACCCATTCAGTCAGTCAATGGTTGCACATTCGTTTGTGTCTGCTTTGACAAGTCCTCATCTCTCCCTCTCTACCTTCTCTTGCCTGTCTCTCAAAGCATCCCCTGGAATATTTTTACACCTGGATTATAGGAGGACATCTCAGTCTTCTAAGAGAGGATGGAACCTCAGAGATGGAGCTGTTTAGGGTTTTCTTTGCAGCTTTACTTAAGGTCATATTTTAAAATTCACCCAGTTGCTTTATCTGGTATTATACATCAAAAGTCATTTGGAAGTGCCTCTGGGCTAGGACTTAGAATATCTTAATGTCATGAGATGTGTTAAGGTCTGAGGCATGGACTTGAAATTTTAGAAGTAGAAATAAATTTTGAGATTACCTAGTGCATCCTCCTGGTTTCACAATTACAAAATTAAGTACAAAAAGAGGAGGCAGCTTTCCCAAAGGCATATGGATATTTGATACAAATGTTTGGTTATATGGTATGTGGAATATACTTCACTATTATCTACTAATTCATGATAGGTTTTTTTCCCTGTGCATGGGTATTCAAAATCTTAAATGGGTTGAAGAATGAGGAACAAAAGTAAGTATTTCTTACTCTTTTTCTTCTGATAACAGCAATAATGAAAGTATCCATCCTTTCTCCCTATAAGTATGCAGAAATGTGGCAGGATTGAATACTTCCTTGTAGCTCTTAAAACCCTACAATAAAGTGTGGTTAATAGGCTATATTACAGTTATTTTGTAACCAAGATCTAAGCTACAGAAAAGAAAAAAATAAAGACACACACACACACACACACACACACACATACACACACACCCCTCCATCACCGAATACTCTCCAATATAAAATAGAAAGGCAGACCTAGACCCAACAATTATATCATGACAGAAAATGAACTTCAAAAAAAATTTGATATCAAAGATTTGACATCACCTCTGAGTGTCATGATATGATGGATGGTCCCGAGCTGAAAGGGTTTATCATCACCTTCATGATCATGGAATCTCCTGGGTTAGAGAATTAAGCTTTTTGATGTTACCATTTAATCTTGGGCCCAACACAATGGAGAAAGAGGACAAGGTACAGGAGTCTCTGAGCATCACTTCATCCTGAGCACTCTCATTGATTTCCAGTGAGTTAGGACCCTCTCTTCAATAGACCAAATTTATTGTGTAGCGTCTAGGTGTCTGTCCTCTTCAGTAGCTAATCAGCTCCCTGAGAAACCACGCCTATCTGGTTTGTTCTTGTGTATCTGCTGCCTATCACAATGCCTAATGTGTAGCAGACATTTGACAAATAATTGTAGAATGCAATACCAAATGCTTGGGTATTTGGATTACACATGAATTGAGTGTCACCAAGGAAGATTCTAGAATTTTCTTCTTTATAATTTCAGTATTGGTCTTTTGTTAATCACTAGGGTTTTTAAAAAACTTTATCATATTTCTCATAATTAACACTATTAGCTTGCTTTAAATAAAACTAGTTCTCCTTTATCTGAAGGCTCATGGAAAGTAGATTTATAAACAAGAAGACTCAGCACACTGTCTTCACACCCCGAAATGCTGGTATGGGCAAAAAGAGAAAAGACGTTTCCTCATTCACTCTGCTAACTCTTTCTGTGAAAGCTGCTAGGAAGAGTCATAAATCTCCCTATTGTGTGAAGTCCATTTTCTCAAGAGCAGCAAGCAGAAAGATGAAGTCATAAAAGGCACTAAAGCAGGTATCCTAAAACCCCATATCTCTGTCTCAGAGGGTGGTGTTCACAAAAGACATCTGGAAAAGAACCCTAAAAAAGCCTGCACCCCATCAGATGCAGAGGCAAAATTTGAGGAAGCAGGGTCAGTGACTTCAACAGAATTGCCACCCAAAGAGTGACAGAGCACGACTTTCTTTGTCTCCCAGTGACAGGTGACACCATCCCACGGGTGCCTCCCCAGCAAGGAGCCAAGGCGTCATGTTCATTCTTCTGTGGCTAAGCCACCATCAGGCTTTTTAAAACAAAGCAACTTTAACACCCGAAGAATGTTGCTGTAGCAGAAAATCTCACATCGCTTCTATTGTAGGAGCTGGGTGGCATGGAAACAAGCCAATGGTTACATGCAAGAAAAAGAAATGAGAAATGAAAACAACTGGGGTGGTTATCAAAGAAAAGGAGACCGCCAGATTGGGAGACCAGGAAGTTATTGGTCTCTGGATATTCCTGGGCTGGGTAAATTTGGGATTTGTACATTCTGAGCTTTATCTCCGGTGGGGCCTTCTGCTGGTCTGTGGAGAAGACAAGGAAAGTGAAACAAGCCACCTTGGTGGGGGCCATTGTGTTCCCTTTAAGCTGCCCATGGAACCACACCCTGAAAATTCTGGATTTTCAGGTGCTACTGTCTTTCCTGGATGGAATCATGCCACCTCTTTTGTTTGTTATTTTTCTTAATGCTCTTGGCTGAGAAGATTAAATTCTTGGGTGGGCCCAAGCAGTGTGGCTTCACTCTGCCATTTTCTGGCTGTGTCACATTAGGCAGGAAGTTTTATCATCTGAAGTCGCACTGTCCTGCTGTGTAACATGGAGACGCTAATCTGAACATCATTGGATTATTTTAAATATTTAATGAAATCAATGCCTTAAAGAGTCTGATTTATAGAAGGCAGATATTCGCTTCCTTCCCCTTTCCTCTGTTTCCTCTGTGAATTAAAATTCTCCTTATTAACTGCCAGAAACAACTTGGTGGAAATTACTTTAATAAGCCAAGTCTGAAAGATGAAAAAAGAATTTCATTCCTTTCACTGAGAGAAGATCGTGCATCTGGAAACTCGGGATATGATGACTATTCCTTGCATTGTTTTGCTATTTATTTATTTTCTCAATAATCAATGCAATGACAGCAATGGCATCCTACATTTGAGAGTTACTGTACTTGAAAATTACTCCTGAAATATATGGAGACTTTTATAGAAAGTCAAACAATTCTAGAAACACGTTGCCAGCAAATAAAAGAGTGAATGGTGGGGGCTGGAAAACAGTCTACCTTGTGGGAAATTTTCAATTTTGAACAAGTGGCATATAATTGAGTAATAATAGTAATAAGGCCGGGGGCGGTGGCTATAATCTCAGCAATTTGGGAGGCCAAGGCGGGTGGATCACTTGAAGTCAGGAGTTCAAGACCAGACTGACCAACATGGTGAAACCCTGTCTCTACTAAAAATACAAAAAAATTAACCAGGCATGGTGGCAGGTACCTGTAATCCCAGCTACTTGGGAGGCTGAGGCAGGAGAATTGCTTGAACCCGGGAGGTGGATGTTTCAGTGAGCCAAGATCGCGCCATTGCACTCCAGCTTGGGTGACACACCAAGACTCCATCTCATAAAAAAAATATATATATATATATAATAGTAATAAAAGTAGACATAATTAAAATAATCATAGCAATAATAATAGCTCCCATTTCTTAAACACCTACTTATGCATTGGGCATTCTCTGAAACACTTTCTGTATATTATCTCATGAAATTCTCAACACAAGTCTCCCAGAAAGATATTGTATTATTTATGTATTTTACTGAAGAAGAAGTAGTACCGTGAAGAGCTGGCAAGTCTTGCCCTAAATCTTGCACCAGTATGCGGTGGAGCCAGGATGGGAATCTTGATCCTTCTCTCTTCAGAGCTAGGAGGGTGTTTTTATTTTTACCATTTAGGGACTATCACAAATCTTTTTTTTTTTTTCTTTTGAGATGGAGTCTTGCTCTGTTGCCCAGGCTGGAGTGCAGTGGTGCAGTCTCGGCTCACTGCAACCTCTGCCTCCCAGTTTCAAGCAATTCTCTGCCTCTGCCTCCCGAGTAGCTGGGAATACAGGTGCCCGCCACCACACCCGGCTAATTTTTGTATTTTTAGTAGAGACAGGGTTTCACCATCTTGGCCAGGCTGGCCTTGAACTCCCGACCTCGTGATCCACCCACCTTGGACTCCCAAAGTGCTGGGATTACAGGCGTGAGCCACCGTGCCCGGCCACAGATCTTTTTCTTATTCTGTCTGTGACATTCTGTTTTTATGTCTCTCAGTATGACTCTGAATTTTTCTCTCATCTCTCTCTCTTGCACATGCACACACACCCAAGACCCCCACACTACACATACTGTACACAAATATTCACAAACACACACCTATACACATAACATACATCCACACTGCACACACATCTCACACACTTCATATCCAGACACCACACTCACACAAACACAAAAGAACCATGCAGACATATACACAACACACATGCTTACATATACACACACACATTCACACACACCTTCCACACAGACACACATGCACACCACACACAAACACATATGCATTATATAGTCACATTGCATGTACATACCCATATACATAACATACATATACTCTATAAACACATGTACACACAGCCGTGCACATACTTAACATTCACACCTTACAGACACATATATCACACAGTCACACTGCTTGTGCATACCCACAAACATACACATGCTCTGTACATACGTGTACCACCCATACTGCCATACACTTACTTAACATCCACACCCTACAGACACACATACCACACACACACTCCACTCACACACAGTCCACACACAAGTCATATGCACATAAACAAACACCTACCAAACAGACACATACTTCATACATACACAGACACACATACACAGAAACACACTGCACTGGTCAGCACTGGTCAGCAGTTTGGCTGACACACTTGATCCTGTATTTTTCTTCATTTTTTTTTTTTTTTAGACAGAGTCTTACTCTGTCGCCCAGGCTGGAGTGCAGTGATGCAATCTCGGCTCACTGCAACTTCTGCTTCCCAGGTTCAAGTGATTCTCCTAACTCAGCCTCCCTAGAAGCTGGGATTATAGGCACCTGCCACCATGCCCAGCTAATTTTTGTATTTTTGCTAGAGACAGTGTTTCACCATGTTGTCCAGGCTGGTCTTGAACTCCTGACTTCAGGTGATCCTCCCTCCTTGGCTTCCCAAAGTGCTGGGATTACAGGCATGAGCCACTGTGCCCTGCTTGATCTCTGTATTTTTCTAACCCCACATTTGCAGACCAATTTTGATAGAGTAAAATAGATGATAACTCAAATGTCTAAAACCACTATTAAACATTTTGTATTTGAAATGTTTTTGCTGTGATTCTTGGACCAAACCTTTCAAAGCTCTATGAGTTTTATTAGTCAGGTTTTGAGATTGGTTTGCATTTTTGGAATGATCCCCTTAAACCTTAAAACCATAGATACTTGTTTTTTCTAAGAACCAGAAGATCAAGGTTCTAGTACCAGCTGTGGCACTAACCAGCTTAGGAGGTCTCACTTCCTCCCTGGGACTCAGTTTGCAATCTGTATAACACGGGACCTGCATCCCCAATTGTCCTTCCCTTACTCCCCAAGACTTCTTTCCAGAACACTGAACCTTCAATAAACAGTTTGAAAATTATGAGACCAACTAATCCACCAAATCTCCTCTGTCTCTGCAATTCTGCAATGCTGTGAGGTGATGTAAAGTTAATAATAATGATAATAATAATAATATTGAATGTGGAAAATATGATGCAAAAAGAAACAGTCATAGCACATAACCCAAAACCAAAGATAAATGACATCTTGGATATTCATTTTTGTATTATCTGTGCTAAAATGCCACTTGGCGGCATGAGTAATTAGGGGTTTCATGATGTGGTTTTGGCCAGCCTTCAGTAATTTGTACTTTTGCATCCACAAACTCAACCATTGAAATATCCCAAATCCCAGTCATCTGACCCCATGTCTTTCTTATTCAGGAATTAATGGCTGGAACAGTGGGAGACAATTCCTATTATAAAATTATATTTTATATATATAATATTGCTTATTGGAGCACTGTTATTCGTGCCCTCCAAAGTCTGCTCATCGATAACTAACTTAATGCATTTGGAGAGGCCACAGACTGAATTTAGTCTTCACCTCATTTCATTGTGCACTGGTTGATCTTCCAAATTCAACTAGTTACACTGGCATCTGGCCACCTCGAGGAATTAGAACAGTTGTGTAGATATAAATGTGTATAAATAAGTGGATTTGCATTGGGTCAGACTTTGGGTAGCTGGTAATAAAAAGTGATTAACAAACTTGAGGGGCTAGAGAACATCACTATGGTACAATGCTTTGGGATGGGAGCGTGCGACTTAACTCTCTGATTTAATCAAAAATGGTCTTTCGTAACCAGAACTGTTATGGAAAACTTGGTTGACTACAAGTTAAACTATAACTGCAGATAAGGGAAGAGAACTCCAACTCAAAGTCAAACTGTCAGTGCTTAGAGTAATCAGTCAGAAGAATTGCAAGACATATGCTGAATGTGGCACCTCAAAGTGAAAACAGATGGACTAATGTGTATTGATCTCCAATGGCTTGTTGACACCCTTTTGAAACAGAGGCAATAAAGGGCAGTGCAGGGCGGGGGGTACTTTAAGTGGAGAGGGGTAAACCATGGGGGATTAAAAAAACCCTGCAGCAAGGACTCTTTGCTGAACTCTGAGCTTAATTTCAGAATATCACCCCGAAGTCTTTTGAGCCAACAGCTGGAACTTAGAGAAGATGAAGGGCTTTGTTTCTATCACCACCTGACCAATTTCTCTACTCTCTCTCACATGCTTATTTTTATTCTCCCATTCATTATTTTTATTCTCTCATCTCAGCTTCCCAAGCTTCTGCAACTTCTAGATAATTCAACAGGAAGAACCCACATCCCACAGGACGGATATTCACGGAGGACTCAGCCCTCCCCCAATAAAGTGCACATCACTTTTTTAGGGGGCCTCCTAACTTGGGTCTAAATTGGGATTAGAAGCCACACAACTCAAAGGCCATCATCTTGCTCTAGACATTCCCTCTGCACTTTTATTATGTACCAGAGGCATTGCCACCTTCCTCCTCCCTAATGTTCTGGAGTCCTTGAAATGCCAAAATTAAGTGGAGGGCTAGAGAGAGGTGAGAAAACATGTCTTGGCCCCTTTCTGTGTTACATTAGCAAACTGTGCCCTTGGTCTAGACTGGCTGGCTTACAGATAGCATGGGAATCTAAGCCATCCAAGGAGAGTGGGTGTCATTGGATTATCACTTCCCGACAAGTAGAAAAGTCACCCACAATAGAAGGAGGTACAGGTTGTGAATAAATAGGGCTATTCACTATTAGTTAATATGGAATCCTCAGGCATATTAATCTCGGACTATCATAGCCCAGCTCAGGCTGGGGAGAGATACTGGTCACACTTTCTGTTTCCATCTCTTCCTCCTATTTTCTCCCTCACCCCCACCTTGATGGTGGAACAGGAAGACAGTTCCTTTGGTCTTCTGTTCAATGCTGTTCCTAAGTATGGCCAAGTGGTTACTAATGAAACCACCAGGCATCACCATACCAGTCAGGGGATCTCCAAAATAAGAAGCGTGAGTTGGGGTAGCAATGGGTAATCTGAGAGTGAGATCACCAACCAAAATGGGCCAGGTTATTTATATAGCTTGGGCAGAGGAAGGAGAGCAAATCTTGGAACTTTCCAGAATGACAACATCCCCTTACTGAACCCAAACCCTTCCTTCACCTCCCCCTACCCCAAACCCCAGAGCTTGTTTTATCATTTACTTAGTGTACAGAATAACCACTCAATATTCAGGGACAAGGGTCTCTCTTGGGCTTCCTCCCTCCTCATCCCTCACTCAAGGAATTTTGCAGATAAATTACCATGTTAATCCACTTGCCTGAGAGTTATGGGCTGTAGTGAAGCAGGAGAATGTCGAAATGGGACTTGGGGATGGAAGGAAGCCCTTGATGACAGATGAAGGGTGAATGTGCAGATGGGCAGCCCCCAGCACAGATGGACCTTCCAGAGAAGGGAAATGACACAGTCATGGGGATGGGGTTCTCTGCTCAAAACAACAGAAGTTGAACAGGCAAAGAGAGAGTTCAGGGAAAGGGAGGAAAAGAGTTAACTGCTTCAGGAAAAGAAAGCACTGTTCCAATTATGAGTGAAGTTGAGGAGGTAACCCTGTTTGATCTGAGATGGCCCCTTCAGACTACAAAGTGTTTGCTCCTGGGATAAGAGGCTGGCTGGCAATAAATACAGAGGGCTTCACTGGGCCTGGAAATCTCCTTCCACACTCTCTTCTTATTGACAACTAGGTTTGTAGACTTGGCGACCAATGTGAAGGTGGTGAGCACAGCATCAACCTCTTCACTCCATGACTTGGGGGGGTCTTTACTGATGAGATGACTTGGAACTGGGATGAAGGAAAAGTCCGACAGGAAAGGAAGAAATTCTTGGCTTCCGTCTTTTCTGGAATTCTCATCCATTGTTGAGGGGTGTGTGTGTGTGTGTGTGTTGTTTGTGTCCACGTAATGTGATGTAGTAGAGAAATATGTGCTTATTTATCTGACACAAACTCAACTATTGACAGAGAAAGAGAGAGAGGAGAGTGAGAATAGTAAATAATATAGTCAGATCTCTGCTCACCACTCTGTTTAATAAACACTTTACGCTACACAGAGGGTGTAAGATACGTCTCTGTTGTTCCCATAACTTGTCCAATTCCCCACGTGTCTTTCATAGTGTGGCAATTTAATAGATTTTTCAAAGATAATTTTATCTTTATCAAATTATCTTGCTGAGTTTAGACAAACTTCACTGTCTACATTTGTGTATGTATGCAGCACTTTGGGAGTGTGTGGCTATGCGTTGTGTTTAAATGAGTGTGTGCTGTGAATATATGCATACGTGTATATGGATATTGTGCACACTTGAGGGTGTGTGTGTGAGTGAATTGTGTTTGTATGCAGGTGTACAATACTGAGTGTGTTCTGTTGTGAATCTGTATATATTGTTGCATTGTGTACCATGCTTATTGGTATTCTGCTTATCAGTTGGATGTAACTGTGCTGAGGGCAGAGGTAGAAGGATTTAACACTGATAATCAGGGATAGTTCAGAGGAAATAAAAATTTCTGTGAAATTCTCAAATGCATTTTCTCCCCTCCTCTGAACAGTTATTTAAGTTCCTATAGCTGAACTTATCGTCTACTGCTGCGTGGAATTGCCAACGATGAGTGTGGGAGAGTGTGTATGTGTCTCCATTCATCTGTGAGTCTGTTCTATGAGTATGTGTGACTTTCTCAATTAGATTAGAAGCTGATACAGAATGTTGTGATCCCCTTCACAAATAAAGAATTTATTCCCACCATTGTTAGGAGTTCTGCTGATGGGTGATCCACAGACATCCCCTCTCTTTGGAGATTTCCAAGGAGGGCAGTCAGTGACTGGTCAACACAAGGGTACGAGACCAGACTTCTCACTCCAACTTGGGACATCTTTGAAGGGCCATCTCAGCTCCCTAACACCCCATAGGGTTGACTGAGGGCATCCCTGGGACTACACAGAAGCTCAGCCTCTATCTCCACCTGACCCTGGTTTCTTCCCTCTCTTCTGAAAATGTCAATCCCAAGAGCGCTCCCTAAAAAATATCCCACATGATAATTTCCATCTCAGAATTAGCTTCCAAAGAACCCAACCTGCAATGCCACAGCAGAAACCAATCCTAAAATCACTGGGCCATGAGTGTGGAGTGGATGTTAGGGGATGATATGGTTTGAATATGTGTCTCCTTCAAATCTCATGTTGAAATTTGATTACCAGCGTGGGCCTAGTGGGAAGTGTTTGGGTCACGGGGGTGGAACCCTCATGAATGGCTTGTTGCCCTCCTTGTAGTAATGAGTAAGTTTTCCCTCTATTAGCTTATGTGAGAACTGGTTGTTTAAAAGAGTGTGGCACCCCTCCGTCTCTCTCTTGCACCCTCTCTCTTGCCATGTGACACACTTGCTCCCCCTTCACCTACTGCCATGGATAAAAGCTCCTCACCAGTCCTCACCAGAAGCCAAGCAGTTGCTAGCACCATGTTTGTACAGCCTGTGGAACCATGAACAAAATGAACCTCTTTTCTTCATAAATTACCCAGTCTCAGGTATTCCTTTATAGCAACCCAAAATGAACCAACACATTGGATGTCTATTTCTACCTCTCCCTCTCCTATATTCAAACTTGTTCATTATCATGGTTATAAACTCAGACTCCAATTTTACACATTTGCTTTCAAATCCTAACCTAGTAGCCATGTGAGAGTGGAAAAGTTTCAACCTTTCTGAATCTCATTCACTATAAACTAAGAAAATAATAATGCCTACATTCCAAGGCTTATGAGAATGAAATGAGGTAAGACAAGCAAAGCCCTTAGTCAAGGGTCCAGCACACAGTAAACAATGAGTAAATAGTAGCAGCTATTCACTGTCTTGTTATGTGCATGGTGGGTGAATTATCCATAATTACTGATGAGAAAATGTATAAGCTAGAGTTTCTTGGGAGATCTATATGGAATAAATCAGTTACAAAATGAATGCTGTACCAATGCTCCTCTTGTCATAGGCTTGAAATTCCCTTAAATGAGGATGTGGGCACCAAAATCATGGAGGCTGAACAGCAAAGGACATTTGTGCTTTCCAGTGCTCTCTGTTCCTGCTACTTCCCAAGCTGCAAGTTTTCAGACCTCCTGGCCAGCCAGATTCCTGTTTAATATGGTGGAGGGAGGAGGAGGGAGGTGGCAAAGAGACTCACCCTTCAGATAATACCAAAATGTATCACAAAGTGTGGAAAGGAAGTAGCCACAGAATCAGTAAGTTGTTATGTTACAGAGGAGGGTGGTAAACAAGGTCCCTCCTGGGTAGCCAGCCTCCAAGGTGAGTCTTGCCTTTTTGTACTCACACACTTTTATACTCCTCTCTTATGCTAAATAGGGATGACCTGCAAAACCAATAGGTTATTGTGGAAATGTCAGATTGTCACTTCCAAGGCTAGGTCGTAAAAGGCAATGCAGCTCCTCCTTGCTTTCTCTCTTGCATCATTTATTCTGAGGGAAGCAGCCAGTGGCCATGTTATGAAAATGCTCAAGCCACTCTGAGAGAGGCCCATTCAGTGAGGAACTGAGGACTTCTTCCAGCAGCCATGTGAGGGTGCCATCTTGGAAGCAGATTCTCCAGCCCCAGTTGAGCCTTCAGATGACTGCAGCCCTGGGTGACATCTTGACTGCAACCTAGACACTGAGCCAGATCCACCCAGCTAAGCTACTCCTGAATTTCTGACCCTTAGAAACTGAGATGATAAATGTTTGCTGTGTGAAGCCTCTAAGTTTGGGGGAATGTGTTATATAGCAATAGATAACTGATATACCATCACTTTTCTTTATTTGGGGAAGACACAGTTTACTCAAATTCAGTTATTAGCTGAAACTATATGAAATTGTCAATATGGACAATTTTTATGCCACAAAATGGCAATGTTGGCCAGGTGCAGTGGCTCATGCCTGTAATCCCAGCACTTTGGAAGGCCAAGGCGGGGAGATCACTTGAGATCAGGAGTTCGAGACCAGCCTGGCCAACACGGTGAAACCTCTCTACCAAAAATACAAAAGAAAAAAGAAAGAGAAAAAAAAGAAAATTAGCCAGGTGTGATGGTGCGCACCTGTAGTCCCAGCTACCTGGGAGGCTGAGGTGGGAGAATCACTTGAACCCAGGAGGTGGAGGTTGCAATGAGCTGAGATCATGTGACTGCACTCCAGCCTGAGCAAGACCCTATCTCAAAAAACAAAAACAAAAACAAAAACAAAATGGCAATGTTGTATGGATAACGTCTACATTGACCTAGGTAGGGGCTCAGGTTCTGGGTAAATACAGTTCTGCTAGTAGAGCTACATTCCAGGAAAGGCCCAAAAGTAGGGTCTTTAGTTGAAGCTGGCTGTGTTTCTGAAAGCTAGAGTCCTTGGAGAGCAAAATCCTCCCAGCTCACCCAGTTGCACATGTTCTCTACTTCCCAGGGAGTTCTTAAAGCAAGGAGGGAACCCCAAAGGCCCTTCTAACAACTCTCTTCTTCTTTCTTGATCTCACAGTGCTGCTTTTTAAAAGCCCTGCAGTTCATTGAAGCTGCAAGTCAAAAGGCATCCTGCAGCAGATAATTAGAGAGATTGGTTCATGGGCCCCGGACACAGCACTCCTGCAAAGCCTCAAAGAGTCCCTGGTGAACCATTTGCCGGCTTTAATTTCTCAGGGGCTGCTTCAGCAGGTGGCCACTAGCAGGTAGTCAATAGGGACCTTCTGGTCGAAGACTGGGGCCTCTTTGGAAAGGTCAAATCCAGAGGCCGGAGGGCATGGCTCAAGAGGTCACGGGGTCAGGATCCATCACTGTGACAGATGAATCTAAGCATGTCTCTCTCTGTTTCTGGAAGCAAGGCCAAGCCTCTTGAGACAGAAAGGTGGCAGGGGGAGGGTGTTGGGGGCTCACAAAGAAAGGCGAGTCTGGTGTCTGGCCGGCACCTCTCAACTGGTCTTCATTAGGCCGGCCTGACAACCCTCTCTTCTGCCGCCCTCTGTCCCGCACTGATGGGGTGCTGTCTCCAGACCTCTCAACTGTTCCTCATTAGGTGAAACAGTGCGCTTTTGTCTGCATGAAGCCTTCTTTGTTCTGCCAGCGTGGCCAAGCTAGAAAGCCAGAAACTGATACAAAACAATGCGACTCTATCCTGAGGGGACCCCCTCCCTCCTCGATCTTCCTCCCCCTGGCCGGACAAGGAAGGGCGACTTCTCCCTTGCGGTCATATCCCTGGATGTCTAGCTGAGGATGTGTTCACTGGAGCAGAAAAAACGTGTTAAACATAGACCAGTAGCTCCCAAACTTGACTGCATATTGGAATCACCAGGAGATCTTCAAGTCATGTGGACTCCTGGTCTCCAGCCCCAGGCATTCTGATTGGATTGGTCTGAGGAGCAACTTGAGTATTAAGATTGAGAAGACCTCTCCGTGTGACTCTAATGTGCAGCATAGTTTGGGAACTACTGGCAGAGATGGAGAACTTCTATCAAATGCCATGCCCACCTGCCCTCCTCCGCATACTTTAAAATCAGGGGATGGTACACCTTGCAGGGCATGGTGCATTCATCTGAACATTCATCTGCTGGGCAAGCAGGAAGGCTACACCTGCACATAACAGGTAAAGCTGGTCTTTACCAGCTCTGTCTGAGAAGGCAATGTGGACACAGCCCATTCAAATGCAGAGGGGTGTTTTCATCTTGGCTTTCAGCACCTTAAATTGTGCGCAGATATTTTAAGATCCCCTCCAGTCATGCACCTCTTCTTCCCACCTGATCCTTGCCACTGAGCTCTCTCCAGGCGGGGCGGAATCCACATCCTCAAAGATAGAACTGGTGACAGAAAAACTTGGCTAGAGACAGGTTGTCTTTCCAGCTCCCATTCCCAAAGCAATGTTGAAGGGGTTATTCATGCAAAAGCTATTGAATCCTGATGTGTCTCCATACCTGCTGCTTGTCTATAGGCAGAGTAGGAAGATGGGTTGCAATTTCAGGACAAAGAAAGGCTCTCTTTTCCTATTCCAGCAGGCCCTAAATTATTTCTCCTCCCAACATCTACTAGTAAAAGTCTCACCTCTTTGTCGCCCAGGCCTAAAATGGCAACATCACAGATTTACATAGTTTAAAGCCTCACAACACTGTTTTCGAAAGTGGATGTTAGGTAGCAATGCCAGATTTCAAAAGTAAAAACATAGGACTCCCAGTTAAATTTGAAATTCAGAGGAACAGCTAATAATTTTCTTTTCTTTATTGTTCACCTGACATTGAAATGTAACTGGGAGTTCTGTATTTTATCTGGCAATACTAAAGAACGGAAAAGGTTAAGAGCTATTTGTAGGCCAGCGTGAATTAATTCAGCTAGTTGGCTCTTTGCTTAGCTGATAATAGTGTTTGCTGGAATGAAGCTTCTAATGGGGACAAGGAGGTAGCATTTTTTTACTTTAGGATGCTGTCTGGAAGGATTCTAAGGCCACAGCAATAAATAGGGAAAAGAACGTGTTGATTAATTAACCATGTTTACGATCGGTCTGGGATGGCAAGTGAAGGCATGTAAGCCATACATGTACAGCGATAGGTCAGCATCCTAATGACATGTAATAAATTATATCACCGGGATATTTGAACTTGGAGTCATTTTATAGGAAGAAATGGACAAGCAGTGTTTATCAATGAAACTGTACAAGAAATGGAAAATTGGCTGAGTCTTGAAAAATAAGAAACTATTCACTACATAGAAACTATGCTTTTTCCTTCTTGGACTTGTTTCTTGCTCTTCCCCTGAAGCAGCTCTTCTTATGCCAGGCACTCAATAGGTGCTTGACACATAAGCACTGACTCAACACTTTGAATTAGAAGTCACAGAGGGAGACTAATGGAACAGATTTTGAGCACTACTCCCCTTTCTTCCATCAGGCATCTGATGAGTCATCTAAGGTCATGTGATAGCAAAACTGTTGGGCCTATAGAAAAAGTCTTTTAAGACATCCACGTCATTAAGTTTTCCTGCTCTTCCAGAGATCTGGAGTCAACGAGTCCTCACCCACACACCTCCATTCTCCTGCATTACTGAGAACCAAGGCTCCTTCCGGACTACAGGCATTGAACCAAAACGGAAGTGGAGAGCCACCCTTGAATGGGAATGCCCACCTTTGCGTACATTTCAGATGGCAGACGGAACCCATTCATCAAACTATGAAAATTCCCTCCACTCTCGAGGAAGAATGGCCATGAAGGGCTTGTAAATACATGTCTTCAGGTTTAAACAAATTGCATCATTATTTTTATTTTTTGAGAGGAGTCCATGTGAAGGGAACTAGAGGCATGCTTGGGTGTTTGTCCTGCAGACAATGCATGCCTGGGTCTTGTGCTGTTTCCGTATCTTCTGCCCAAGCGCTGGCCAGCCTCATGGCCTCTCAACAGGAGAAGGGTGCCAATTCCTAACATTCTATTTTCATACTGTTTGATGATAAAAATCGCCCCAGCAGGGCGAATGGCAGTGAACAAAAACAGGAAGCAGACCCCTGATTAGATAGGAACAGGGTGGCTTGTAGAGTAATAAACAAAATGACTAAGAAGATAAATGAGAGAACCATGGATGCTGCCATCTCCTTCCTGAACAGGCCAAGAATAAATGGAAAGAAGAAATCGGGAAAGAAGTCATGTCTTGGGCTCTAAGTGGGGGTGAAGGAGGCTTGCTCTGCAACATCACTTTGCAGGGGCCTTCCTTGAGTTGCCTCTTGAGTGAAGGCCATCAGGACAACTATCTGGTTTTCAGTGACTTCCTTTGAAAATCTTGCCTAAGTGATTTAGTACTCTGTTTTGATATTTGGAGATCCTTTGAAATCTGTGATCTTAGAGCTTTAGCCAAACCAAGGGTCCACTTTGTCATGTTGCTACTCTTGGACAGTGGTGCTCAGTTGGGGCAGGAGATGGTAATTTTGCCCTCTAGTGGGCATTTGACAATGTCTAGTGAGTTGCCACAACTGATGGATGGTGCTGTTGGCATCTAGTGGGTAGAGGCCAGAGATGCTGCTAAATATCCCGTAACGCCTAGGATAGCCCCTAGCAACAAAGAATTATCCAGCCCTAAGTGTCAATAGTAGCAAAGCTGAGAAACCCTGATGTAAGGCAAGTTAAGATATAAAAATAGGTATAAGTTTGGGTATGGACATAGGGTGGGTACGAATGTGGACATAGAAGTAAACATAGACATATATTGAACCCATTCTGCAATGAAATCTTACTTCTTTTTCTTAAAAAAAAAAAAAAAGACAACTTCACTTCTGATAAAAAATCTTCACAGGGATAAATCACCAGGAAAGTGAGACTTAGACATTCCCCTATAAAGACCCAGAAGCTCCAGGCCTGCTCTAAGCATGGGCCTCGTGATGAGAGCACATGTTCAAATTCTACCTATAACATTTACGTCCTGTGTGATCTTTGGCAAGTTTCTTATTCTCTCTGAGTCTTAGCTCCATACTTATGACGTTGACTTAATAACTTCTATTTCTTATAGCTCCAGGCCTGCTCTGACCAGGGCCTCACGATGAGAGCACATGTTCAAATTCCACCTATAACATTTACGTCCTGTGTGATCTTTGGCAACTTTCTTATTCTCTCTGAGTCTTAGCTCTATATTTATGATGTTGACTTAATAACTTCTATTTCTTATAGCTGTGATGATAATGAATAGGATTGCATGAATAATGGCCAATACATTGTCTGTACCCTAGTCAAATAGGAGACATTCAATGAATTGCATCTGCTATTGATCATATAATCATCAACATGCTTCGATTTTAATGTACATTCAGGTATTTCTCCTTAGTACTCGAAGGGCTCTTTGCAATTGGAAAACATGATTTAGGGTACCAGGATGCTGAGATGGGACTCTGTCTCAATTTCAGCTGATGCCTCAAGGAATTAAGAACCAATAGGTAAGTTCATCAAGTGGTTTCCTTGAAGTCTCATCATCAGGAGGGATTGTGACAAGCTGAGATGCAGCTAGAATGCACAGTCACTTTGGATAGAGGCCTGCATTTCCAGCGGTCAGGGAACTGCTAGAATGGGCTCTCCATGGCACAGATGTGGGCCAAGTGACCACGCGGGAGAGTCAGCCTGGAGCCTTCAGGTACTGTCTTGGGCAAAGTGTTGGAAATCCAGTTTCCACTTACAAGAGGCAATCAGCAGCTGCCTTCAGTTTGAGTCCTTGTTCCCTGCACAGCCCCCAGGTCTGGGCCACCCTTCACAGAACCACACTACTGGTGGGTTTGGGTGTGAGTGTGAGTGTGCACCTGTGTATGTAAGGAAGGGAGCTATAGAGAAAGCAAATCTTCCTGTGGCCTGGAAAGATCAGCTTTGTGCTGATTTCCTTCTTTTTTTTTTTTTTTTTTTTTTTTTTTTGAGACAGGTTCTAGCTCTGTCACCCAGGCTGGAGTGCAGTTTTGGAAGTGCCATCCAGGTAGCAGAAGCTTTAGCACCTTCCTTTGGAAGGTGGGAATATTTAGACTGGTTGCTTTCCAACCTTAGCCAAAATTCCATCAGAAAGTCCTGTTTAAATACATGTACACTACGATGAGCTAAGAATAGAATTCATATCATGATAAGAATACCATTTATTTTAATAGCTTAGAGTTTTAAATGACCCATCAAATGACAATATACAAATACGGGACAGACCTGACATCCAGCATGTGTGCCTCCCCGCCATTACTGCAGTGCAGGGTCAGATTGCTGCATAGACCTCATCATTGCAGGAGTCTCAGAAGATATTGTTCTCCTCAGTACTGTGTTTGCTGTAAGAAATGATGATAAACCTCTGTGGTATGTTCTACAGATGAATTCAGAGGTTTTAGAATGAAGAAAGAATTTACCTTGGACTAGTCTTAGTGCTGGACAGGGTCCTTGGCACAGAATTAGCCCTTGGTACACATTTATTGAATTAAATGAGCACCCAGGCTGTAGCCAGTTGAACGTGAGATGTGTGTCCTCCCTATTTAACAAAAAACGTGGGTCACACTAGCCAGTGTCTTACCCTAATCATGTGGAGTAAAACAGGGGTTAACTAGCTTCCAGAATTCCTGGATGAATCACTGCCCACAGCCCCCACTGTGTTCCTGGCCCCAGGCTGGTCCAGGGGAGGAAACCTGACCTATAGGAGATCATCTGCCTACTGGCCAGTCACGGATGTGTCATACAGGGCACTGTCCACTGAGACATGACTCAGACCATAAATTCTGTTCTCAGAATTTAGAATTGGGAAACCAAGCTGCCGGTTGGTGAGGGTCACCAGTAGCACCAGGTCAGGATGTGGGGAGTAATGAGACCATGGCCATTGCCACTATGAGGAATGACAGACTAGGTGAGAAAAGGAGGATACAGCAGACTCCACAAGGGAGAAAAAATGAGAAAGGCCACAGGGCCCCAGATAGGGGCAGAAATGGTGCCCTTTACTCCGTAATTCTCAATTCCAGCTTTCTCGAGGTGTCCTTCCTCTTCCTGCCTTTGGCCTCTGGGATTTATCCTATTATTAATAACCCTATTAATAATAATTATTATTATTAACATTATTCTGTCTTATTGAGGATAATCTTACAATGAAAATTCCTTTAGCTTGAACCTGTGTGAGTAGAAATATATTCCTCAAACCCCAAAGAGCCTTGACTAAAGTAGTGACCTATGTGAGCACCACGGGAAATGAAAATCACTCAACATTTAGTGAAGGAGGTTGTGATCATAAAAGCTGGCTGAGAGATCCACATGGGGCATCCTTAAGGTAAGTAAACTGGTGGATTAACCTGCTAAGTTGCATTTTCATAAAGAAAAAAGATTAGTCCATTTGATAAGATATGAGAGGCATGATAAAAAGGACTTCCGGGTATGCTGTTGAGGGATGGTGATATCTTTTTTTTTCTTTTTTTTTTTTTTTTTTGAGATGAAGTCTCACTCTGTCCCTAGGCTGGAGTGCAGTGGTATGATCTCGGCTCACAGCAACCTCCGCCTCCTGGGTTCAAGTGATTCTCCTGCCTCAGCCTCCCAAGTAGCTGGGACTACAGGCACGTGCCACCACGCCCGGCTAATTTTTGTATTTTTAGTAGAGACAGGGTTTCACCATGTTGGCCAGGATGGTCTCGATCTCTTGATGTCATGATCTGCCCACCTCGGCCTCCCAAAGTGCTGGGATTACAGGTGTCAGTTACTGTGCCCGGCCAAGGGATGATGATATCTTTAGACTGTGACACCCTTATGTTCTTCCCCAGGGGGAGCACAGTCCTGTGAGATGGTTAGGCTTCAGGTGCAAGGAATATTGATTCATTTCATTCCCCCAAAGAAATTCTGTAAAACTCACTGACTTCTCAGGGTCCACACAAGAGACCAAATAACTATTTCTGTCCTTCCATATAATGTAAATTCCTGAATGGCCACTACACAAAAGTCAAAAGGGAAAAGAATATTTGTTATAGAGGAAAATGATACCAACATGGAATGAGAAATAGTGCTAAAGATGGAAAGAAAGAGCCAGGGAGAGAGATAGCAGGACAGGGAGAGAGAGCAACTTTCTCTCAGAGTCTCTATAGTCCTGAAAACAGGTCCATCTTTCAACATCATAATTAGATGAGCCAATAAATTACTTTGTGTTTTTTTTTTTCTTTATTTGGGTTTCTGCCGCTTGCAACCACAATAGTCATGGCTAATAGAGTGCAGGTAATGTAAGAACCCAGTGACATATTGTAAACTATGTTCTTACTAAGATTACAATATGGGTCTCCAAATGACACCAATCCCTCTGCCACCAGCCCTGTCACATTCTGATTCACCGTAAAATAAGAAAGAGTGTAAGATAATTTTTTTTTTGAGACAGAGTCTTACTCTGTCACCCATGCTGGAGTCCAGTGGTTCAATCTCGGCTCACTGCAACCTCCACCTCCCAGGTTCAAGTGATTCTCCTGCCTCAGCCTCCCAAGTAGCTGGGATTACAGGCGCCCGCCACCACACCTGGCTAATTTTTGTATTTTTAGTAGAGACAGGGTTTCACCATGTTGGCAAGGCTGGTCTCAAACTCCTGACCTCAGGTGATCCATCCACCTCAGCCTGCCAAATTGCTGGGATTACAGGCATAAGCCATCATGCCTAGTGTAAGATACTTTTAATGGAACTTTCCTAAAGGGAGTTAAGTGGAAAAATGGACCCATGATCACAATAATTAGTAAAAGATGGAGTTAAAGAAAATTATTCTTACACTGAAAACTATAAAACATTGATGACAAAAATTAAAGTAGACACATAAAAATGGGAAGATACCCTATGTTCATAGATTGGAAGAATTAATATTGTTAAAATGTCCTTATTAACCAAAGCAATTAACAGACTCAATGCAACCTCTACCAAAATTCCAAAGACATTTTTTACAGAAATAGAAAAACAACCCTAAAATTCATATGGAACCACAAAAGACTCTGAATATAAACAAAGCAATTGTGAGAAGAAAAAAAAAAAGCTGAAAGCGTCACATTACTTGACTTTAAATATAATACAAAGCTATAGTAATCAAAACAGTATGGCACTGACATAAAAACAGACACATAGACCAATAGAACAGAACATAGAGCTCAGAAATAAACCCATGCATTTGCAGCAAATTTTCAACAAGGACACCAAGAATACGCAATGGAGAAAGAATAGTATCTTCAATAAATGGTGTTGGGAAACTGGATATCCATATGCAGAAGAAAGAAATTGGACTCTTAGCTCATACACAAAAATGAGCTCAAAATGGATTAAAGACTTAATGTAAAGCCTAAAACTGTAAAACTCCTAGAGAGAAAAACGTAGGGAAAGAGCTCCTTGATGTTTCCCTTCTCCTGGCAATTATTTTTTGGAATATGACACCAAAAGCACAGGCAACAAAACCAAAAATAGACAACTAAGCCTATATCAAACTAAAATGCTTCTGCACAGAAAAAAATCAATAAAATGAAAAGGCAACATAAAGAATGAGTGGAAGAAAATATTTGCAAACCATATATCTAGTAAGGGATTGATGAACAAAATATACAAGAAAGTCATATGACTCGATAGAAAAAAAAAACCCACAAATGGCATGTTTTTTTTTGTTTGTTTGTTTGTTTTTTTTGAGACGGAGTCTTGCTCTTTCACCCAGGCTGGACTGCAGTGGTGCTATCTCGGCTCACTGCAAGCTCCACCTCCCGGGTTCACGCCATTCTCCTGCCTCAGCCTCCCAAGTAGCTGAGACTACAGGAGCCCGCCACCGCGCCTGGCTAATTTTTTTTGTATTTTTAGTAGAGATGGGGTTTCACCATGTTAGCCAGGATGGTCTCGATCTCCTGACCTCGTGATCCACCCGCCTTAGACTCCCAAAGTGCTGGGATTACAGGCGTGAACCACCGCGCCCGGCCAACATGATTTTTTAAATGGGCAAAGGAGCTGATTAGATATTTGTTCAAAGAAGATATAAAAATGGCCAAGAGGTGTATGAAAAGATGTTCAACGTCACTAATCAGTCAAGGAAATGCAAATCAAAGCCACAATGAGATACCACCTCACACCTGATAGGATGGCTAGTGTAAGAAAGAAAGAGAGAGAGAAAGAGAGAGGAAGGAAGGGAGGGAGGGAGGGAGGGAGGGGATTTCTGCCATTTTGTTACTGTATTTCAGCAGCTATGCTCTCCTGACCACCCTGCAGGTCTCCAGTTGAGTTCAGCATCCCTGAAGCTATGCTTCCATAGTGCTCCAGTGCTCTGTGCATTTCCAAGGGTGGCAAAGATGAATAAATCTCTGCTATAATTCCAGAACCTTCTATGTGTTTCCAAAAGCAAAAGAAATGAATACATTTCTGGTGTTGGTGTTGTTTGAGGATGTGGCTAAGGACTTCACTTGGGAGGAGTGACCAGATCTGGATGATGCTTAGCAGACCCTGTACAGAGACATGATGCTGGAGACCTACAGCAGCTTGGTATCCTTGGGACACTGCATTACCAAACCTGAGATTATCTTCTGGAGCAAGGATCAGAGCCATGGACAAAAGGGCCCAAAACACAGCCTCCCAGCCATGTGAAGGTGCCTGCTACCACTTTGCCTTGTGCCATAAGTCAGAGTTCCCTGAGACCTCCCCAGAATCAGATGGTGCCATGCTTCCTGTACAGCCCAGACAATCGTGAGCCAGTTAAACCTATTTTCTTTATAAATTAAAAAGAAAAGAAAACAAGTGTAAGCAAGGATATGAAGAAGAGAACCCTTGTACACTGTTGGTGAAAATGAAAATCAGTGCAACCACTATGGAAAATAGTATGGAGGCACCTCAAAAAATTTAAATCAGAAATACCATACGATCCAGCAATCCTACTTCTGGATATATATTCAAAGGAGTTGAAATCAGGGTCTTGAAGAGAGATCTGCACTTTTACATTTATTGCAGCATTATTCACAATAGGCAAGATATGGAATCAACTTCAGTGTCCATCAATGAATAAATGGACAACGAAATTGTGATATTAAAAAAAGTATATACTTATGGTATATGATACAATGTTTTGATATATGTATACCTTGTAGAAAGTCTAAATCAAGCTAACTAACAATGAATTACCTTGTTTTTATCAATTTAAAAGTAATTTTTTTTTTTTGACACAGAGTCTTGTTCTGTCACCCAGGCTGGAAAGCGGTGATCTCGGCTCACTGCAATCTCTGCTTCCCGGGTTCAATCGATTCCTATGCCTCAGCTTCCCGAGTAGCTGGGATTACAGACATGCACAACCACACCTGGCTAATTTTTGTATTTTTAGTAAAGATGGGGTTTCACCCTATCTCTCAGGCTTGTCTCGAACTCCTGGCCTCATGTGATCGGCCCACCTCAGCCTGCCAAAGTGCTGGGATTACAGGCATAAGCCACTGCACCCAGCCAGTTTTTTTTTAAAAGTAAAGATAATTATATATATGTGTGTATACACACACACACATACATATATATATATACACACATGCACACACACAATGGAATGTCAGCCTTTAAAAAGAAGGAAATCCCGCCATTTGCAGCAACATTGATTAAACTGAAGGTCATTATGCTAAGTGAAATAAGCCAGAAACAGAAGGACAAATACTGCGTGATCTCACTTATATGTAAAATTTAAAGTAGTCAAATTCATAGAAGTAGATTATAGAACGGCAGTTGTCAGGGGCTGGAAGGAGGTTGAAAATGGGAAGGTGAAAATTTTAGTTGTGCAAAATAAGTAAGTTCTAGAGATCTACTATAGAGCATAGTGCTGACAGCTAACAATACTGTATTGTATACTTAAAATTTGCTAAGAGGGTAGATATTATGTTAAGTGTTCTTGGTACCAAAATAATCATCATGATTATCATCATAATGGGGGCAAGAGAAAACTTTGGAAGGTTACATGTATGTCTACGGCCATGATAGGTGATGGCATCATAATGTATAGTTTTTTCCCAAACTCACTGAGATGTATACATTAAATATGTACAGTCTTTTATATGTCAATCATCCCATAATAAGTGGGTTCAAAAATGAAAGAAAATAATTCTAGTTTCTTTATTATTATCAGACTTTTAGAGCCTTTGGATTCTTAATTATATAATAGGACTCTCTCAAGGAAAAAAATAATATTCAAATATTCAAGGAGCCAATTAAAAAAAAGCTTTGGAGATGTTGATCAAGGGCTTATTTCTGAGCTAGTTTAATTACCTTTCATATTCTGTTTAGGACAAACTACGTTGTACCCTATGCTGACATGCATGAAAAAGAAGAGACACGCTAATGGGAGAGGGAGAGCGTAGGACATTAGGGTGGAGGTAGATATACTTCTCCCCTTTTCTTTTCATTTACTTCCAGCCTAACAGTCAAGTGATCTGCCATGTCCCAGGCACTGAATGATGTGTTAGTGACACAGAGATAAACAAGACAAAATTCTTGTGTCCAGAAAATTCTAGTCACAGAGAAAGAAAAGTAATGATACCTCAATACATGGTGGACCCCCTTAAAAGGAGAAAAGAAAGCTTCCTGGCAAAGAAGATGCCCAGGGTATCAGGAAAGGGGTAGACGGCATTTTGAATTTATGTAAAAAGTAAGCAAGCCCACCCCAAAGCTCTTCTAATTTTAAAATTGACAAGTCATACCATCTGCACGACCCTTTCCAAATGTATCTGCTGCTGCCCCTCTGTTGGCCTTCCCAAAGCCACATGGTTAACTTTTGCTACAGAACAGAGATCAGCAGAAATAATTGACATAGATTAAGCTACAGGCAGGTTGTATAGATCATGGGCCCAGATCTAATTCCTGCCTGGTCCACTCAATTACACAGGAGCTTCTTACTGGAGAAGCAGGTGTAGTTACTGTAAATAAGTTCGATTTTGGGCATGGATGTCATTGGGTAACTGCATTTGCCATGCTTGGGTGATACATAAGGTAGCCATCAACGGCATGATTGTGGAACTCACAAAGATATAGCCAGCCTTTCCTGACAGTCTGGTATCTTCAAGGCAGGCTAGGATAGGAGATAGAAAATGCACTGATAGACTATCAGGAGGCTGGAGTGCTAGTCCTGGCTCTGTCTTTGATTCATTGTGTAACCTTGACTTAAATCCTTTCCCTTTGCCAGGTCCATTTTCCTTTCTATAAAATAAAAAATTAGATTAAAATGCCAAGATAGACAAAGAGGGCAGAACAGTGGTAGATATATCAAGAATTGAGTTAAATAGAAGTGAGTTTAAATCCTGACTCTACTTATGTAACCACCCTAGGTCTCAGTTTTATCATCTACACAATAGGAATCACAATTGTTCCTACTCTTCTATGATAACTTAAGATAATGTCTATTACAGGCCTGGCACATAGTAGTCACTCAGTAAGTATTCATTATTAGCATGGCCATTAGTATTAAGATTCTGAGGTCATTTATTTATTCGACAAGGTTATTTAAATACCCTTTATATCTTAGGTACTGCACTAATTTTTAAAGTATGTTACTTATCTATTGCTGTATAACGAATTACTTGAAAACTTAGTAGCTTAAAATACAAGCAAATATTTATTATCTCATAGTTTCTATGCGTCAAAACTTAGCTGGAACCTGGTCCGGGCTTAACTGGGTTCCCTGCTTCAAGGTCTTTCATAAGACTGTAATCAAAGTATTGGCTGGGACTGCAGCCTTATCTGAAGGCTCAACCGGAAATAAGTATTCCTTACAGGTTGTAGAACAAAGGGCCTTGGGTCTTTGTTAGCTTGCGTCGTTCGTTGCCATGTGAGCCTCTCCTTAGGGCAGCTCACCAAGTGGCAGCTGGCTTCCCCCAGAGACAGTGAGCAAGAGAACCAGAGAAGGCACACAAGACAGAAGTCACTATCTTTTTGTAACCTAACCTTGAAAGTGATATTCCATATTTTTTTTGTATTTTATGCATTAGAGTGAGTCAATAAGTCCATTCTTCACTCAAGGGGAGGGAATTGCACAATTATATTCAATACCAGGAAGTGGGGATCCATTGAGGGTCACGTTAGAGGCTGCCTGCCACATAGGGGTACAAACATGGAATAAGTCACAGCTGCATTCAAGAAACTTATATTCTAATGGGGGAGACTAAGATGGAAAGTAATAAATGTAAACATAGGAGTTTGCAGGGGATAAAGAGAGGGCACAAAGAAAAGAGTGATTCCACATGGTGATGGTACATGATGGTTCTGCACTGAGGGGTAGGGGGATAATGAGGTCTGACACTCAAGAGTGAAAGAAGCAAGACCAGAACCCAGCTCAATTTCTAGCTCTGTGAATATTACAAAGTCTCTGGCCATTCTTTCCACATTGAATGGCGAATACCCTTGCATAAGGTCCCAGGGTTAAGAATTGACAGAGCCAGAATTCGAAACTAGATCTGTAGAAAGTCAGGCTCAAGCTCTTACTAATGCCAGCTTATTGCCGTTTTCTCCCGAGTCCCCAGCTGATACAGTGTGGATACTTGTCTCCTCCAAATCTTATGTAAATGTTTGATCTCCAGTGTTGGAGTTGGGGCCTGGTAGGGCATGGTGGGGAGTTTGGTCCTTGGGGGTGGATCCCTCATGACTGGCTTGGTGCCTCATGAGAGTAGAATGCTGGATGCCAGTGACAGGGAGCAGGGGAAAAGGGGGAATTGCTATTCAACGGGTGTAAAATTTCAGTTATGCAACATGAATAAGTTCCAGAAATCTGCTGTACAACATGGTGCCTAGAGTCAACAATACTGTACCGTGCCCTTAAAATTTGTATAAAAGGGGAAGTCTTATGTTAAATGCCATTACTACAATAAAAAAAAGTGGGGGTTGTGAAGGAGGGATTTAGTTTCCCAAATGACCAAGTGTTGAAACTTAGTGACAAAATGCCTGACTTTGCTCAACCTTACTGTCTTCAACTGTTAAATGGGTCTAAAACAGCAGTTACCTTATAGGGTGATCTGAGGATTCGATGACATAGCCCATGTAAATATTTGGCTTTGCACATGATAAAGGTCTAGTGAATGTTTGCTGTTACTGTTTTTTGTTAGCAGCAGCAGCCGTAGCCTTATTACTCCAGCACCCAAACAGGTGCCAAGAATTGATGCTCTCCCATCACATATTACTTTGCGCAGCAATTGTTTCCAGCCAGCTAAAGCAACAAGGCTGAATGGCAAGTCAAAACCTCCAACCCCATCTCAGAACAAGGAATATTCAATACACTTCACAATCTAATAAAACATTCCAGGGAACCCTAGGGGATTGAAAACTCTTCAAACTGAAAATTATAAAAACAAGTTATTTTATCATATCTAACAACCGTCCAGTTGTAAAGTCAACAATGTTCTGATTCTTAGAATGAACAAAGTTCAAATCAAGTTTTGGCAAGTTCTCTGAAACTATATATTTACATAAATTATATGATACCATAAGATGACATGTTCCCTTCACATTGGACTTTTTGCAGCAGGATCATAAAGAGGGTATTTTTTCAGAAATACTGGAGGGCTTCATCAATTTTCCTAAGGGCCTCTCTTAATCCTTTGATACACAAATCATTCTCTTCTGAAGCACCTGTCCTGTCAACTGGCCTGATGCTACCACATTCCCATCCATCAGATGCTTTGCTTGTAATTAGAGCCTTTCTCCAGCAAAATTTCCATCCACTTTCTGAAATCCTGCATCTTTTGCAAGATTTGCAATTTCACTTTGCAATCCATTTGCATTTCATTTGCATGGTATAGTCGGATACCTATAGCATCTGGCAACCTGTGAGGGAGTGTCCAACAAAGGTATTGATGCACTAGTGAGTAGTTACACTCATGTAAAACGGGCTGAGAGATTTGCTGGGGAATACGTGCATGAGTTTCTGGTGATTATTTTTATATCATAACAATGTGGGCTTTCCTATACAATGTGTTGTATAGGGCTCAAATGACAAATTCCTAACTTGTGGGGTCCCCTCAACTTTGTTTCTAACCCTTGAATGCATGGGATATCATCCGGTGTCTGTTACAGTTAATTCTCCTGACTTGAACTAGGCTAAGTTTCTGTCCATAAAAATGAACATTTCTTGGCCGGGCACGGTGGCTCATGCCTGCAATCCCAGCACTTTGGGAGGCCAAGGCGGATGGATCACGAGGTCAGGAGATTGAGACCATCCTGGCTAATGCGGCGAAACCCCGTCTCTACTAAAAATACAAAAAATTAGTGGGGCATGGTGGCATGTGCCAGTAGTCCCAGCTACTGTGGAGGCTGAGGCAGGAGAACCGCTTGAACCTGGGGGGCAGAGGTTGCAGTAAGCCGAGATCATGCCACTGCACTCCAGCCTGGGCGACAGAGCAAGACTCCATCTCAAAAAAAAAAAAAAATAGTATTTCTTGACTAAGCCCTCCAGACACTTCAGCTCTCACACATTTTTTATTGTTTCACATGAATCAGTTAGTTCAGACTTGCTGGAATTGTGTTAATGTCAAAAATTGAGTAACAGTCCAAATAATAATTTCTAATAGCACTGAGCATTAAACAAAGGGTGTTTATATGCAGAGTCTTCATTACATAAGAATTTATTATCCAACTCTAACACAGTAATGAGGTTACCTCAAGAGGCAAAAAGCCATTTTTAATATAAAAAAGAATTGAAAGGCCACTTATAAAATGAATACCCATTCCAATCTCATTCCCCACATAATTGACTCAGTTGGTGACCTGGAACAAACAATTTCAACTCTCATGTACTCAGTTGCCTCCTGTATTGTAAACTGAACACAAAATTATCCCAAATTGGAGATTTGCCCATTAGCTGAGATGAAACATGGAAAAGATTTTCAATCAGTACATTGAAGTAAAAAGAAGGGTATGTGCAAGCAGAACCAGAGAGTTGTCCCTCAATGTCAGTTTTTCTTTTCCGCTGTATTGACAGAACAATTGAATTTTAGCTGGGCTGCCCAGTTCCCACCTCCCTTGCAGCTAGGTGGGAACATATAACTAAGTTCTGGCTAATGAGACTGAGAAAAATGTGTGTGATTTCTGTGTCATGCTCTTAGAGTGAAGGAGCCTATTTTCCCTCACATTTATCTTACTATTTCCACTGTTTATATTACAAATTTGATGGTGAAATAACTAGAAAAGTGTCAATGATGAAAAATACCCTAAGGATGACAAAGAAAAAAAGAGAGACCCCAGCCACTGAACACTCCAAGATGCAGAGCTGCCAGATTAGCCCAGTCTCTTACGTGCAAGAGAAATAAGTGTCTACCCTGTTTAATCTATGACTCTGGGGGGGTCCTCTGAACTATCTTCTGAACTATATTATCTGAACTATATTCTACGGAGATTTTCCTCTTTCCTGCCACAACATTAAATACACTTTCATTGGAAGGCAATATTGAGGAGTGGCTAAAAATATGGGCTCTGAAGTCAGATTGCCTGTCTCCAAATCCAGCTCCACCACTCCCTGGCAATATGTTAAACTTAACCTATCTAAACCTTGGATTGCTAATCTACAAATTGGTTATAAGAAGAGTAGCTACTGCTACCTCATGGGATCAATATAAAGTTTAAAGAGATAATGTATGGGAAGAATTTAGCATAATGGCCAGCACATACCAAGCATTCAATAAATTTTAATCATGGTTGTTGCAGGGAAAGGTGTTTTCAAGGCTGGAAAACACCCCAATGCTAAGTTCATTTGGGGGCTCTAAAGTTAAAATGGGGACTTGTTCATACAAACTTTGGCTCATCTATGAAGTAGATTTCCTTTTGCAATGTGGCTTTTTTTTTCTCTTGGCAAGTTCTCAAATTTTGGGTTGGAAAAAAAAGGAGGAACACCATCATCTCTCACCCTTCAGATTCAGTTTGGGTTTAGGAGAGAGTGTCAAGGATATAGTAGAGCCAAGGCAATAGTTGACACCCAGTTTTTTCCAAGACTGTAACTGTCCCTCTTGCCACATGTGCCAACCATACACCTGCTCACTCTCAGATTCTTTATCTGCTCTGTTCTCTTCCAAATCTTAAGGAGCTACATTTTCCAAACTCCTTTGCCTTCTTGCTTCCTTGTACTCTCAGCCAATAGGAGGCTCTGGTGGAAGACTAGAGTGAGGGAAGAGGACACAGTTGAGTAGTTATCACTTCACACACCCATCCGGCTCTGGCAGAAGCCTCAGCTGCTTGATAATCTTGGCTACACTTGAAGGTCCTGGCACTTAGCCTCTGAAAGTAAAAGATCCTCTTTTTGTCCCTTTTCTTTAGGGACAGTAGTGACTTCCTGCTATTGGTAAACTCTAGGTTGCTTCACTTTCTGCTTTCTCAGTTCCTCTGTCCCATATGGATTCAATTTCCTGTATTAAATTCTCTCTGCTTGAAGGACCTTTAATGATGCCAGTTTTTTTGCTGGACCCTAACAGATACAAGATGGTAACCTCAGTGTTGAATGCACTGCCTTGTATGTGCTGGGGAGTCAATGTCTATTTGTTGAATAAATGAATACTTGGAGAAGTTGATATAATCACCCTGAACCTGGTCCTCCAACCACTCTAAGCACTGTGAGACTAAAAACACCCCTTATGAGATGCTCATTTCTGCTCACAAAGGCTCTCAGCTGGCTAAATCACAAAATATATCAAAATATTCATCTTTCAAAACCACATTTCTGGTCTGGTCCCCCAGAGTAGTAAACCTCAAGCCCTCGGGCCCTCAATGCCCAAAGGTGGTGAAAAATCTCTTCTGGGGACCTTGTGGTTATAGGATGATCTGGCTGAAAGCAAGACAGATGAGGAGGGTGGAGGAGTAGAGGGTGTAGAAGAAAGCCTAACTTCTCTGAGAAGCTATTTATCTCCAGACAGCAATGTCACTCCTGGGGAGCAGCTGAGTGCTTACAATATTTGTAAATATCTATTTGGCCCCAAGAGTTCTCTCCCATGGAAACAGCTAATAAACCGAGCTGCCTGAGTTTACTCCTAATGCCAAGACATGTTCCAGGGGCTGATTACATTGCTGTTTTATTATATGGAAAAGAAGATAGACTGTATGTGCAAGGGGCCAGGGGAGGTGATGGAGAACTCAGAGTTGAAAGCAGGAAAGTTACACTTCCAGGTTGATGAGGTCTTTGTCATAAATATCCAGATCTAGAAATGAAAATTAGAATTGGAACCAGCTCTCTCCTTGAAGCAGGAACCGCCCTCTTGACTCAGAGTTCCAAAATGTTCAGGCACATCTGGCTAAGCAAATGGTCACTTTACCAAGTTGCCAAACAAAACCTGGAAATTGCGAGTACAGGGGAAAGGACCTCTCTCCAAGAAAAATAATAACCCCAGGTGATGTCACTGCTGCCGATCTGTGGACCACACTTTGAGTGGCAAGCTGATGCATTAATCTCCTGTTTATGTTTCATACTTTAAAAGCCCAGTATCCAAAGCAGTGAGGTGGTTTCCATCTGCTCACAGCACATTCACGTCCAGGGTAGGACACTGGTACAACTCAGGGTCTGCTGGAGTATGCCCCTTGTGAAGACAACACATTTCCTACACATGCTGAAATGTGCGTCCTGGGATTTCCTGGGACATTACTTGATTTGCCTCTGAGGATTTCATTGTTTGCTAAGATCTTATGAAAAAACAACCCCCCTCCCCCACAAAGAAAAGACAAATGAAGATCAACTTTGCTATTTGTTAAGAACTACATTTAAATTACTAAAGAAACTATTTTGAGTGCATAATTTCAATTATTTTTTTCCATTTCATCCAAGCCAACAAGCTCAATTACTTTTCTGTGATGACATTATAATGAGAATCATTGATTTTTAGAGTTGGAGGCAACTTTGAAGTTCAACCCCCCTCCACGGTAACAATAATAATGTGTACCATTCCCCAAGCACTTGCTATGGGTGGTGTGTACTGGTCTAAGTACTTTACCTATTTTATTCGCATAGTAGCCTGGACCAAAGTGTGTTCCTAAGAATATTAATCTCACACTATGCTCCACAAATTAAAGATTCTGTGATCCAAAAACTTTTGCAAAACTTGTGCCTTCCTAGGTCCTTCTCAGGGAGACAAAATCAAAACGCACATGGACATACAAGAGACCCTAGGAAATCCTACAGTAGGAAAGCCATTGCATTTTTTTAAAAACTGCTTCCAAAACATCTTTGTCTGTGCACTTCTTGTTTTCTAAAATCCAATTCGCATTTCATTTCAATTAGTTAGATAGCTCAATTTCTTATTAGTATGCATTGCCATATTTAATTAAGATGGAGAAGGCCTCTGGTATCTTAGAGTTTTCAACCATGAAGCTTATTAACAAAAGTGCTGCTGAGCACTTTCTTAACCAGAAAAACGATGGCTGAGATCCACCCATTTTTGTTAAGAGATTTAAGATCCTCTAAATGAAGTCTTCAAGCAAATCTATGGGATATCTTCAAACACATCACTCGCTCCTCACCCTAGCATAAGTCAGTCTCAGATGAGTTATAATCGATATTTAAACAACTACAAAGGTGAAGGCTGACCCTGAGCGTCCTTCCCATCCTTCCCCACAGTCCACTTGAGATGTTATCTGTGAGGAGTAAACAGGCCCGTCCCCAAAGTCTTGGCCACCCTGGTGTGATATCAAACAGCTGCTCAGCGGCCCTGGAAGCCGGCTCCCATATTTCTCCTGCTACACTTACAGCGAGTTGAGCTTCCTGGCGGGGCTTCTCTTTGAAGTTCAAGAGGGCCCTGTGTATGGTATGTGTGGGAAGGAAAACTAAGATTCATCTCTCATGGAGCCATCTTTTCCATGAGAACAGAGTGTCTTTTAGTGTCTTTCAGGAAGAAGGGGTCTAATTCAGCACCTTAAATAATAAAAAAGTGGTAACAATAGTAACCCACATGACATTTATAAAGCACTTACCAGTGTCAAAAATAGCACCACGTACTGTCTTAAGTGCTTGCTAGGAGTTAACAACTTTAATGGTTCCCCTTTTATAAATGGGGAAGCAGATTCAGAGAGGCTAAGTGACTTGCCCAAGGTCACAATAGGAGACGAGTGGTGGAGCTAGGTTTTAGTTCCGCTCAGAACTAATTTATTTGTTCCCAAACTGGGTGAAACAGTGGAAACAAACGTTAACTCTCAAAAGCGTCTGAGAGCTGGAATTGAGGCTCAGGCCAGAGACCTCTGGACCTCTGCCCTCTGTGATTATATGGGCATTTTCCTCCCGTAGCAGAATGGATCATCATTTTGCACATTCCTATGCCCTTCATCACACTAGTGTAAATGTTTGCTTGCTTGTCTCTTTCCCACACTAAGTTGAGAGCTCCTTGCTGCAGGCACTAAGGTTATTAGCCTTTAGCCTGGTGGCAATGATTATGATGACAGCTACCAATTCTGGAGAGTTTATCATGTGCCCCACCCCAGGGCTGATATCAAGCCAGGTGGTGACCATTCTGACTGCTTATGCATGGGTTGTGCTGAGTGTTAAATAATCCAGTATGATCCCTGCCAAGCACTATGCTAAGTGTCTTTGCCTGTCTTTTCTTCCTGAATCTTTACAGCAGCTCTCTGAGGTGGCTACTGCTGTTATCATCCCATTTTACAGATGAAGAAACTGAGACCCAGGGCAGCAAGATTATATTTGCCTGAAGTCACCCACTTAGTCCATGGTGGATGGAGCTAATTTCTAGCTAACTATAATTAGCCTGAAAAACAGTTCTTTTATTCATTCATTGATTTATGCATCAGTTTCCTTATTCATTCAAGAAATTTACACTGAGCATAGTATTCATGATCTGTGGCCCCATGACAAGTTACCTCAAAACTTAGTGGCTTAAAACAAAACCAAGCATTTATAAACTCATTTTTGTGGGTCACCAATTCAGGAGTGGCTTAGCTGGGTGGTTGTGTTTCAGGGCTGCTCATAAGGCTGCAGTTACAAACGTCACCTAGGTCTATGGTCTCATCTGAAAGTTTGACTGGGGCTGGAGGATCTACTGCCAAGACAGCTCACTCCCATGGCTGTTGGCTGGAGACCTCAGTTGTTCACTTCATGGACTTCTCCATGGGGCTGCTAGAGAATCCTCACCACATGGCAGCTGGTTTCCCCTGAGCAAGTGACCCAAGAGAGAGCAAGGTGGGCATTGCAATGTCTTTTGTGATCCAGCCTCAGAAGTTGCACAACATTATTTTTGCAATGTCTTATTGGTTATACAGGCCAGACTTCTTCAGTGGCATTGGGGGTTGGGGGGTAGGATTTATACAAGGGCCTGGACACCAGAAGGCAAGGTCATTGAGAGCCATCTTAGAGGATGCCTACAACAAGCAACTACTCTGAACCACAACCAAATGTAGGCATCTGAACAATACAGAGCTCCTGATCTAATGGGGATGACAGGCATTACTTATGTAATCACATAAAGGAATACATGGGATTGGGGGCTGGGAGACTAATTATATGCTTCTCTTAGAGTGTGGAATAGTGGGACAGTGGTAAGTCTTCTTATGTTTTAACTACCCATAAAGCTGTACCAATGCATCCCAACTTAATGTCAGCCCTGGCTGCAGTTAACATGGTTCTTGCCCTTGTATCCCCAATTTCTCCTCCATTGAGGGGAAGCCATCAATATCTCCTATCTCAAATCGCAAAATAAAACCTCGTAAACCTGGTCACTAGAAAAGCACTCAGTAATGCCTGTTATGGGTTGAATTGTGTCAACTCTAAAAAGGTATGTTGAAGTCTTAAACCCCTAGTACCTGTAAATGTGACCTTATTTGGAAAAAAAAAAAAAAAAAAGGCCATTGCAGATTGAGTAATCAAGTTAAGATGAGCTCGTACTATGGTATGGTAGGCACTCCTGCAATATGACTGGTGTCTTTATCAAAGGAGAGAAATTTAGACCCAGACGCAAATTTAGGCACACATATGAGGACACAGACGCAGGGGAGAGCATCATGTGAGATGGACAAATGCAGCTGCAAGCCAAGGAACTTCAAGGATTGACAGCGCCCACAGAAGCTGAAAAAAGCAAGAAAGGAGCTTATTCAGAGTATTGAAGGAAGCATGGCCCTCCTGACACCTTCATTCCAGACTTCAGCCCCCAGAATTCTGAGATAATAAATTTCGGTTGTTTTAAGCCACCTAGTTTGTGTGGTATTTTGTGTCAGCAGCCCAGGAAACTAATACAATACTCAAATGTTGAAACGAAACTTTAGGTTCATTTCCAGCTCAGCATTTCCATTGTACGGATGAGCAAAGAGATGAGACCCTGTTAGAGGAAAGTAGTTGCCCAAGGTTACCAAGCAAATGTGTGCCCAAACTAGGCCCAATCCCCCAGTCTAGGGCTTAGAAGATACCTTTTTTGTTTGTTTGTTTCTTGTCATCATCAGGCTCCGGTCATCCTCAATGCTGTTATCATTTATTTTTGCTGCAAGAAAGAAGGAGGCTGCGGAGTCTGTGTTTTCCAGCTCCGCCAGGCAGTCTGTTTTTGCTGGCTTTGCATGAAAACAGCCAGGCTGTTGGCTCTGCGGGGTAACAGGCTGACTCGGGGTGTGATGTGAGTTGTAAGTACAATGACAGACGGCTCCGGGAACAGCCCTGGGCACCGTCTAGCAGAGTGAACCAGAAAACCACAGCACGTCAAGAGCATCTAATGGCACCATGTGGTTTCTTAACGCCGCTCTCTGCCCTCCCTGCCAGGGTGCTTGTGAGCCCAGTGGGACTTTCTAAGTCTTTGTATCACTCCTTGAAGAGGAGTACGAGGGGAAGAAGAAGGAGGAAGGGTTTCTGCTTGAAGGCCTCAAAGAATTCATTTTAGTACACATAATTACAGCCTTTTATGCCAACTCTGATTCAAAGGTGCATAATTTTTGGCATGCCCAAATAACATAGAGGATGGGACCCGGTAACAACAAAAGATGGAACAAATAAAGAGCTGAGTCAGGCAGCATCTAGGAACTGGAAACTGTTGGATGGCACTAGAGCCATGAGTCAGCCCCCTTGGAGATAGCCTCACTGCAGGATGGACACACAAGCCAAGCACTTACAGATGACCTTTCCTCGCCTTCAGCCATGATGTTGGCCTTCAGGAAGTGAGACAGCATCAACCTTCTGCCTGTCCTTGTAGCCAGAACATCTGGTTTGAGACACTGGAGAACTTGTCTGATTCAGGAGAAACTAGGGGATTTCTCTGCAGGCAAGCGGATTACAGCGTCCTGAGGCTGTCCCTGACTTTGAAATCCACAGAAGTTTCAGCCCTGGCTCAGTTGTTCATTTGCTACAGGACAAAGTCAATTTGCACCCCTGAACTTCAGATTCTTCATGTGTAAAATAGAATATTAATACCTTCTGTGGAGGGTTATGAAGCATCACCCACAAGCTTCCATTATGGACCCTGAAGTGAGATGACCAGTAGATATGGAACCTGGCCCTCTCCTCCTACTTGCCAGCTGGGAAATTTGAGGGAAGACACTTCAAATCTCCGTGGCTCAGTTTTGTCCCCCTCAGTGTGGATCTGTAGTGGATGTTATGGGGCTAGGCCCATACTCTCCCTACACCATGCCCATGCAGGCCGATTCAATGGCTTCTGACTGTAACCGTGAGTACCTACGATTCTTTGCCTGAGGGATTTATTTGGCCTGCATGTGGGACCTGCTAGAAATTGACTCCTGGAGGAGCCCTGCACTGTGATTGACTGGAGTTGGGGCCTGATCACCCCAACTTCCTTGCCATTTGGTGAGACAGCCCTGGGGTGCATCCTTCCTACAGATTCCCACAGGGACCACATCCGAGTTGCCCACAGTAGGGATGCTGGTGACATGGGGTGAGGGCTGAGACTTGATGAACTTCTTTCCTTTCCCATCTTACCTCTCCACTTCCTTGCACATGCTTCTTGAGATCTCCTCTCAAATTCTCCACTTAGACTCAAATCCTGTCTCAGGGTCGGCTCCTGGAGGACCCTGATCTCAGCACTGCCTCACAGAGTTACCGTTAGGATGAAATAAACAAATAGATAGAAAATTCTTAGAGGAGTGTCTGTTAGATGGCAGGATGGAGATAAATGATTAGTCTGATCATTGTGAGGATTTAAATAATCTGGGAGCCAGGCTCGGTGGCTCATACTTGTAATCCCAACACCTTGGGAGGCCTAGGCAAGAGGATTGTTTGAACACAGGGGTTCGTGACCTGCCTGGGCAACGTAGCAAGACCTCGTCTTATAAATAAATTTTTAAAAATAAAAAATAATAATAATCTGGCATGTGCCACATATAAAGCACCTTAGCCTAGTGCTGGGCACAGAGTAAGGGCTCCAACCATGACTGTGTCATTTTGCAGATGTGGAAACTGAGGTTCAGAGGCCTGAAGCAACTGTCCTGAGGTTGCTTTCCATAGTGGTGGAGTTCCGATGTAAACCTAGATTGATCCTGCTCCTTACAACCTCCTCAGAGGGAGAAAAGGGGAGCAAAATCGTGGCTATTAGGACAAAGTGTTAACATCGACCCCCGAGCCTCCCTTTCCTTGGTTAGCTGAGAATCCGGGAGCTTGAACAAAAGCAGCTTCGGAGCCTCAAGCCCTGCAGATACAAGGCATGTAGAAACAAAGCCGTGTCTCTAAGTCCTGGCTGGTGACCCATCCCCCGAAGCTATCCATCATCTTGAACAGGGATTTTATGCACCCTGTACGCCAATCACCTCTTCAATTACCTCTCAGGAGGAGGGAGAAGCCCAGTGGTATCTGATGTCCCATTTGATTTAGGGTAAGTCACACTTAAGAGGGCATCTGAGGTTAAAGAACACAGAATTCTGGGCCTGTTTATAAATCAACAGGCTTGAGGTTTTCATTATTCACCTTCTAGATCATGGAGCGATATGACTCACTGGATCATAAAAGAGATCAAATAGCTTTGTTGCTAATAATTCTTTCCCTGACCCACTCTCTGGCACATTTGGTTTGTAAACAGAGTTTTAATGGCATCCCTTGGACATAATAACGTAATTTCTTTATAGCACCTTGGCCGCCTTGCCACTCTCGGCTGTAATCAGATTTAGGTTTAAGCCTCCCTCATTTGTGGGAGCTAATGTTGTTTGGTGTTTTAAGAACTACTTAGGGCTGGGGATATTGCCCTTTGAAAGGATTGAACCAGCTCCTTTCAGAACACAGCACTCTGATGAGTCTGGCCTAGAAGCCATGGATAGTGTTCCTGGGACCCAGAACTCTGAGATCCCTGACTCTGGCCCCCATCCAGGTTCCCCAGGGAAAACCCTTCCTATGCAAGTCCTCAGTGACCTCAAAGGTTGTCTCTAAAATTGTCAGGAATGTCGAATCAGCTCTTGAAGTCACCTATCATTGTATGGGTGAGACAGGATTGTTCATTAATTCACCATTACATACAAAGATGCTCCAGGTTTGAAGGTAGTAAGGGGGTGGCTTGGTGATGACAAAATAGTGTGAGAAACAAGAAAAAAAAATGTTGAGGGGTCATTAAAAGGATGGAAAATATCCTTCAGGACAAGCTTTCCCAAACGTCAGTCATTTCTATACCACTCTACAATGTGAGCCAACTCTGAGCACCCTCTTATTATTATATATGTATTTTGGGGGGTTTAAATGGACTTACTCTATATACATTTAAATGTTTGCCATAAATAGGAAGTAACCATAAAAAGAGATGTGGGTCCACATCTCTAATCCAGAACCCCCAGGGCCAGATGGGTTTCAGAATTCAGAACTTCATAGACTTTAGAAAGGCAACATGGTCATATACCCCCAGGACTGCACCCCTTATTAGATACATTCATAGTTTTGCAGCATCACCTATACACATTCACATTAAGATCGTTTTTTTATTCATGATGAAGATCATCTTTATAGGAAAATGAAAGACGTTTTTAAAATTTTTTTACATTGTAATTGTACATATTTATACATTACAATTTGATGTTTTAACATACCTATAGGTTGCATAATTATCAAATCACCTCATGCATTTATCATTCCTTTGTGGCGAGAATACTCAAAAACTTCTCTTCTGGCTAGTTCACAATATACAATGCCTGACTCCTAACCATAGTCACCCCACTGTGCAACAGAGTGACAGGACTTGTTTCTCCTCTCTTATTGCAATTTTGTACCCATTGACCAATATCTCCCATCTTCCCCTATTCCTGCTGCCCCTTCCTAGTCTCTGGTATCCACTGTTCTACTCTCTACTTCTATGACATAAATTTTTTAGATTGCACATATATGTGAGATCATATGGTATTTGTCTTTCTGTGTCTGGCTTATTTCACTTAATAATGTGATGTTCCATGTTGACACAAATGACCAGATTTCATTTTTTATGGCTGAATAATATTCCATTATGTATATATGCCATTTTTAATTTATTCATCCATTGTTGGATGTTTAGATTGATTCCATATCTTGGCTATTGTAAATAATGCTGCATTAAGCATAAGAGTACAGATATCTCTTTGACACGTGAATGCCATTTCCTTTGTATATCCAGTAGTAGGATTGCTAGATCATATGGTAGTTCTATTTTTAGTTTTTTGAGGAACCTCTATGCTGTTTTCCATAACGGCTATACTAATTTACAGTCTCACCAACAGCATGTAAGTGTTCCCTTTTCTCTACATCCTTGCCAACTTTTATTTTGTCTTTTTGATAATAGCCATTCTGACTAGAGTGAGGTGATATCTCACTGTGGTTTTGATTTGCAATTCCCTAATGATTAGAGATGTTGAGCATTTCTTCATATACCTGTTGGTCATTTGCATGTCTTCTTTTGAGAAATGTCTTTAAACTCTTTTGCTCATTTTTTTAAAATTATACTTTAAGTTCTAGGGTACATGTGCACAACGTGCAGGTTTGTTATATATGTATACATGTGCCATGTTGGTGTGCTGCACCAATTAACTCAGCATTTACATTAGGTATATCTCCTAAGGCTATCCCTCCCCTCTACCCCCACCCCACTACAGGCCCCCGTGTGTGATGTTCCCCTTCCTATGTCCAAGTGTTCTCATTTTTTAATTGGGTTACTCGTGAGGACTTCAGGGATTTTTTTTGCTTTTGTTTTGTTGTTGTTGTTGTTTTTGCTGTTGAGTTGTTTAAGTTCCTTAAGTTCCTTATATATTCTGGATGTTAATCCCTTGTCAGATATATAGTTTGCAAATGCTTTCTCCCATTCTGTAAGTTGTCTCTTCACTCTGTTAATTGTTTCCTTTGCTGTGCAAAAGCTTTTTAGTTTGATGTCATCCCATTTAAGACAAATTTTTTAAAAGGCTATATGTAATCTGCTGTCTGTGTTAAGTATAAATATTAAATGGTTTATGAAAAAAATTCCATTTTCAGAGCCTTTAGGACTTTGAAATTTCACAAAAGGGGTTATGAGCCCATACAGTGGGGGTAAAATAAGTGTGATTAAATTCCAGCTGAATATGATAATGTGCCTGAAGAAATGAGCCAGAGAGAATCATGCTTTCACATTCTGGTATCAACTTGAGCCTCTCTCTTAGATAAAATGGGAAGGATTGGATGAGAAATGAAAAAACAATAACTGCTCAGAATGGACTTCAATGCTGCTTGATTTCAGGCAGTGGATCCCCAACATCATGTCCAGGAACCCCAGTGGCATGTGTCCCCTGCATGAGGAGATGCCTATCTATAAGGAATGAGGCGTTCAGTAGAACTAGCTAAACCATGGCATAGATGTTCAGATTAAAGGAGTCTTAAGTTTCCATCTATTTCAGGGGTTGGCAAACCCTTTTTGTAATAGACTAGATAGTAAATGTTTTAGACTTTTTAAACCATATAGTCTCTGTCATAACTACTTTACTGTTGTAGGACAAACACAACTCAAGAGGATATCTAAACAAATGGGCATGACTGTGTTCCCATAAAACTTTATTTACAAAAACAGGCAGTGGGTCATGTTTTGTCCAGCCTTTCACTAACACTTGAGGAAATTGACACCAAGAAGGAAACTGACTCACTCAAGGTGATTAGTAGCAGAGCCAAAATCAGAAGCTGCCAATCTAAAGAAATAAAAAGAAAGAGGAGAGAGGAAATCTCAGCTTCTATCTTCAATCCTGGGAATCATTTTAAGGCAAAGTTTCTTGGGAGTCACTCTTCGCATTCAGATAAGAAATAGTAGGTTCAAAGTGAAGCAAAGGTGGGGAGTCTGCATGGATATTTAAAAGAACATACTTAGGTTCAAGGATAAAATGCTTGAAAAGACAACAGAACATCTGTGAAGAGTCCATCTTTAGACATCCTCAGCAGGAAAATCACCTGCTGAAATGGATCTGGCTGAAATTTTTCTGCCCTGGGCAAAGGAGGTCTCAAGCGTTCTTATTATTATAGAATAATCTGACCTATTTAGAGAGGTGTGGGCACCAAAGGGGATTAAGTCTAAAAGACTCCAATCAAGAGGACATTATTTCTCCACTCCATTCAATTTAACAAATATTGATGGCACTTTGACTTTGTACCAGGCACTGTGCACGTCTTGTTGAAGATGGAAATATGTATGAAATATGGTCTCTGCCCTTAAGAAATTTACAATTAAGAAACAATGTAATTGGCTGGGCACGGTGGCTCATGCCTGTAATACCTGCACTTTGGGAGGCTGAGGCAGGCGGATCACCTGAGGTCAAGAGTTCAAGACGAGCCTGGCCAACATGGCAAAACCCTGTCTCTACTAAAAATACAAAAATTAGCAGGGCATGGTGGCAGGCACCTGTAATCCCAGCTACTTGGGAGGCTGAGGCAGGAGAATAGCTTGAACCTGGGAGGCGGAGGATGTAGTGAGCCGAGATCGCGTCACTGCACTCCAGCCTGACAGAATGAGACTCCGTCTCCAAAAACAAACAAACAAATAAACAAACAAAACAATGTGATTATTTTTCATTCTCAGGGAATAAGGTGCTACAGTGATAGAGGAAAATTAGTTATTAAACTTTCTCAAGGAATAAAACAGCTTTGAGTTGCTACATTCATGGAAAAAAAAAAAAGAATAGCAACGGACAGAGGAAAGTACAGGGAAGGCCCACATCACTCTCCATTCAAAACTACGTGGTCAAACAGACTTCAGTAACCTCACTGGATTCCCCAATGCACAGTCATGTCAACAGGGAAGGGTGTATTATGAAGTTTCTTCTTCCAATGCCCTTTTGCCCCATACAAAGAGGCGGTGGCCACACTATGGGATTCTCTCCCATGTCAATTCAGGGAAGAGGCATCCAAGAGAGAGATAAGCATGGAGTAAAGAGAGAGATAGACCGGCAGAGGAAGAGTTTGAGGAGAAAAAACAGAATGGTCAAAGAGGAAGAGGCAGAGAAAGAAGAAGGAGAAAGAGAAGAAGATGGGAGAGGGAAGGAGAAGGAGAGAGAAGGAAGAGGATAACAAAGAAAGGGAGAAATGAGAGGAGGAGAAGGATAAGAAGAAAAGAGAAGAGAGGAGAAAGGGTATCCTGGCAATTGCATTCAATTCCAACTACAAAGGGCACAGAGGGGATGCCATATGTGGCATCAGAGGCCTCTGCTTCCTTTGGGAAGGCATTGGGAGGCTTCAAGTGGGGGAATAGTTAATCAGATTTATACTGTAAGTCAAACTCTGTGCCTTCCACAGGAGGATAGGCTGACGGAGATAAAATGAGACAAGCAAGGAAGCTGTTGCCATTGTCTGGCGAAAAAGATGGAAGAAGGCACAGAATTGAGCTAGCATGAGAAAAATCTGTCCTTGGACAGTGATGGGCTGTAGGGTCAATAATGAAGTAAGACTTTCATCCATGTCTCTGGATCCAGAAACTTCATGTTTACTGGGATAGGAAGCACAAAAAAACAAGGCAAGATTCATTATGAGTACAAGAAATCCCAAGAACATTCTTAAAAGAGAAAGGGAAGAGGAGAAGAAGAAAGAAGCCTAACTCCTGAGCACGTTAACAAGCACCATCTCATTGAATTCTCCCAATGAGCCCATGTGGTTGGCATTATATCCCTTTTTTTTACAGATGTAAAAAGTAAACTTCAGGAAAGTTAAGTAATTTGTCCAAGGGCACACAGCTGTGGATCCAAACCATCTTTCCAGCTCCAGCGTCTGTTGACCTTTTTATCTCTATCAGAGACACACAAACTGAAAGACATGTGTATTCTATGCCTTCAACCTGTGGTGCCACATGTGGGAAAAGGGAAAGGAAGATGGCTATAATCTGGAGTGGATGTAAATGAATCCCAGGTCTCTTTGGACACCAGATGGTAGGCACCTGGTCTCCAGTTCTAAGCCCAGGTCTTGCCAACAGGTGAGACTCCCAAAATAGAGGACCTAGAGGAATCTCTTATTTTATCATACCAGGAGGGAGGAAAAGGGAGTCTGTTTTCAGGCTGTTATGCAGTGCAGGGCCTGGTTGGCATTTGGGAAAATGAATCCTTCTGGAAGGAAATGAGGCAGGGCAGCCAAGTTCCTAGGATTATATCTCTCTCACCTGGAAGCCTTCTGCCAAATGACCCCAGGGAAGAGTCAGTCCAATGAAAGATAGGTTTCGTCTCTAAGTAAAACTTGCTTCTAGGGCACCATCAAGCCCCAGGAGGCTGAGAAGAGCCACCTTGAGGGAGGCAGAAGCGGTGAGAGGGAAGTAACAAGCATAATAACAGCTCATCTCTGTGGCCCCTTTCATCTAGGGATCTCAGAGTCATTTACCACCACCCAGTTAATTTTCTCAACATCCACTACACCATCAGCTCCCAAAGAAGGTGTCATTATCGTCCTTTTATGAGCAAGAAAACTTAGAGGTTAGTTGGCTGGCTCAATGCCACAAAACAGTTGTAAGGCAGAAACCAAATTTAAGATAACTGCCTTCCTCTGATCACAAGGAACAGGAGAGAAAAGACCCATTTGTAGGAGGGGCCCTGATTACCACTCTTAATCATTCATTTATTAATCATTCATTTATTCATCCACCTATCCATCCATCCTTCCATTTATTCATCCATCTGGCCATCATTACTTCCTTCCATCCATTTATTCATGCATCCAACCATCTCCATTGATGCATTCATTAATTCACTCATATAACAACATTAACTGACATCCTGCTATGTGCCAGGCACTGTGCAAAGTGCTGACGATTACAACCATGACCAAAACAAACCCACGGTATTAGTTCATTTTCACACTGCTATAAAGAACTGCCCAAGACTGGGTAATTTATAAAGGAAAGAGGTTCAATTGACTCACAGTTTAGCATCGCTGGGGAGGCCTCAGGAAACTCACAATCATGGTGGAAGGCAAAGGGGAAACAAGGTGCCTTATTCACAAGATAGCAGGAAGGAGAATGAATGCAGTAGGGACTACCAAGTACTTATGAAACCATCAGATCTCGTGAGAACTCACTCACTATCACAAGAACAGTATAGGGGAAACCACCCCCATGATTTAAATACCTTCACTTGGTCTCTCCCCTGATATGTGGAGATTATGGGAATGACAATTCAAGATGAGATTTTCGGTGGGGAACGCAGCCAAAACACATCACCCACCATCTAGTGATTCTTCAAATAATGTTTTTTTTCCATCACGACAGGACTTTGCAGCTGACAAATGTATTACCTTTTATAGAGTCTGTGAAATGAGGATTTTTATTTCTGTTTCACAGCTGAAGAAACTAAGACTTAAGCAGGCCAAGTAACTTCACAGAGCTAAGATCTGGACCCATTGTGTGTGGAGCCTTTTCACACGTTACAGCTTCTTTATTAAGCTGATCTCCCCAGTTCCTGGGAAAATCCCCCACAAGAACTTGATTCAGTGAAGGGTTTTGCACACCTTTAACCAGCAGACGGTCATGTTACCAATAAAGCTTTGAGTTGACTAATGAAGTAGCTAGACTGATGCCCACACTGAACTGGACTTTCATGAGAGCATGAAAATAAAATAATTTACTTAAACCAGAAAAAATAGCAAGTCTGATTAAAATAATCAGGTCCTTCAGGTGTGTGAGTTAAACCATCAACTAAGGCTGAAGGGCATATGAAGTCAATTGATTTGGTAATTTGCTTTGTTTCTGCTCTGATATGGGTCAACTATGATAGTCTCTTCAACAGGCACCCGCTACCCTTCATAGATGAACCAATTATTCTCTGTTTCTGTTAGAGAGCACCAAGATAGAGAAATGAGACAAGGGTCTGGCTGGTCATTCCAGTACTGTGTGCCTTTTAAAAGCAGCAAGGGTATCCCAGGATGACATTAGCACCATTTAACAAACTGTGCATTCAAAAATGGCCATGTCAAACTTCTCCACTAGACTGTGAGCTTCTTGAGGATAGAGTCATGTCTGTCTGACTTAGCAAAACCCATAGCCCTAGTCTAATCATGAGAAAAACATCAAACAAACCCCAGTTGAGGGACATCCTACAAAATATCTGACCAGTACTCCTCAAAGCTGTCAAGGTCATCAAAAACAAAGAAAGTCTGGGAAATGGCCACAGCCAAGAGGAGCCTAAGGAGATGGGACAACTAAATGTAGTGTGGTATCCTGGATGAGATCCTAGAACAGAAAAAGGACACGAGGACACACTAAGGACGTCTGAATAATAAAGTATGGGTGTTAGTTAATCATAATGCATCAATATTGGTTCATTCACTGTGACAAATATACCATACTCATGTAAGACGTTAATTATAGAGGATACTGCATGTAGGACAGGTGAGAGCTCTATACTATCTTGATGATTTTTCTGTAAATCCAAAACAGTTCCGAAACATTTATTTAAAAAAAAGTATAATTGAACAGTATAATAAAAAGTGAGGCAGAATGAAGAGGAGAAATTTCTTTTTGGCTTTTTTAGTTACAGTCTGATAGAGGTTGTGTCTTTCTGCGACTGTGTGGATATCCTTGTGTAAAATGTATTCATCACCCATTCCTTCCATGCATAGGTAGCTGTTTATTTTTTCTGTTGATTTCCAGGTTCTTTGGCTACCTAAGGCACCTATGGTCATTATCCTGCTTATACAGAGGCAAAAGTTGTATTGGGGTGTATCTATTCAGTGGGCCCTCAGCCCATCTTATTGATCCTGTTGTCCTCTTTCCACTCATATCCTTAAGTCAAAGGCCATACATGAGTGGGACCATAGACTTCAACATGGAAGGACAAACCACCAATGAGGGATGAGGCAATATTCTCATGAAAAGCCACCATAACCTATACCCTCTGCCATCACAAGCCAGGCCTGATGTTGGGATATTGCCTGCCCTCTAACTATTCCCTGAGTAAGTGATCACTATGGAGGCTGCTAACTGGGAAACATGGGGAATCCTAAATTAGTCCTGGCAAATGCCTCTGCACTAATAAGCCTTGGCACTCCCCTCACACCTTTCATCCAGGTAATCTCAAAGAACTTGTCCAAACATTAATTAATCTGGCCCACAACACCCCTGCTATTATTAAGCCCATTTTACAGATGGAAAAACAAACATGAAGCGATACCACTTGGGCAATGAGTTGGTGGCTTCATCCCCAACCCAGTCGCAGGCTCTGTGAGGGAAGGAGTGAAGTGAGTAGGTGCAGCAGCTGGGTACTCAGTGACCCCTGGTCTTGCCTCTAGTTTCTTGGCAATATGGAGAGTCAAATATTGGCCACAGGGGGACAAAGAGGCTTTAAAGTCAGACAATTGGGTTTTGAGTTTGTGAATTGGAAGTTCACAAATGGAAGGGACCATGGGGAAGTTCCATAAACTTTGTGTTCTTCCATTTCCCCCAACTGTTAAATGAAAAGTAAAAATTACCTTACTTCCTCTCACTGGGAGAAGATTTAGAAGATAGTGTGAGTATAGTCAACTGGGGGCAAGAAGGAAATGAGATTCTTGCTGAAATTCAATGCCTTAGATTCTCACTTGAGCCTTTAGGATGGAGCTCAGAACCAGGGAGACAAGATCTCAGAACGGGGAGCTGAGGGATAAGTATGAGGGACAGAGCTTAGGGAGCGGTTAAAAGGAAGTCAAGTAAGTTTTGACTGAGCCTTCAGCCATCAGCAAAGAGGGGGCCTCCAAGAAGCATGGTGTCACAAGGATATTCCAAAGGACTTCTGTTGGGAGGAGAAAGTTTCTGACAGGAAAGTTGAAGGGGGAGAGGGGAATCTTCATTCTGTACCAATCCTCCTGCCCCACCAGTGAACCAACTTGCGGGTGGCCTAGCTGATTCTAGCCAGTCAAAAATCGGAGGAAGCGGAAATCTTTAATTCACAATGGACAAATGCTGGAGCCTGGGAGCTGGTTCCGTATGTTGTTCCCTCTGAATAGTCATGAGATGCATGGTGGGCTGGGCACCCTCCTCCTGACCACTTTAAACAGGGAGCTTTCCACCTGAGTACCAACTGTGAAAAACAGGCCCCACTTCTCTCCCATCTCACTATGCAGCTGAGTGACCTGCTGGGCAGGCACAACAGCCAAGGTGACTCAGCATTTGAGTCATCCCCTGTGTCCCACACATGTTCACACACACACACTCACATACACACACTTTCTCACACACACTAACACACATGCTCTCACACACTCTCACACATGTTCACACACATACACACACACTTTTATACACACACTCACATTCTCGCACACTTCCTCACACATACACACACTTTTACACTCACACATGTGCACACATTCACACACACTCACATACACACTTTCTCACACACGCTTACACACATACACTTTCTCACGCAAACACACATGCTCATACACTGTTTCTCACACATGCTCATGCATACATTCACACTTTCTCACACACACTTTCACATACACACTCGTACACATTCTCAGACTCATATACACATTGTCACACTCACAATCACACACGATTCTAACACACACTGATGTTCCCCCGCACACTTTCACACACTTACATGTACATGCACTCATACTTTCACACACTTTCTCCCTCACACACCTTTACACTCTCATACACTCACACATTCCCCCCACACAGTGTGCACACACTCTCACACTGTCACACTCTCACATTCATACACACTTGCCCTCTCTCTCCAGCCACTCATACTGTCACACGTTCCCACACACATACACCCTTTCACAAACATGTATGCACACACACTCCCACACAATCAGACATGCTTTACACACATGTACACACACACTCTCACACACTCACACATTCCCATGCACTCTCACACTTTCACACACACGCATGCACACACATTTCCACACACTCACACACTTTCACACACGTATGCACACACTTGCACAGTCACATTCTCACAGTCTCCATACACTCAAACACACGCTCACATTCTCATACACACATTCTCACTTGTTCGCATTCTCCTACACACTTTCATACACACAGCCTCATGCACATGCACAAGTCCCTCACACTCTCACACACTTTCACACTCATATATGCACACACACACTCACACTGTCACATTCTCATGCTCTCCACTCACACACTCACATTCTCACACTCACACATTCTCATCACTCTTCCACACATTTTCATACACTCACACATAGCCTCACACACATGCACACACAGTCTCACACACTTTCTCACACTCACACACTGTCACACACATACACACTCACACTCACACACACCTCATTTCATTTGAACCATGTGGATGAGCAGTTCCCAGGATCCACGGAGCACAAGAGGTTCCCAGAGGAGCCCGCAGTCTCCTGAACTTCCTGCTGAGCAACCATTGCCTGTATCTTGCTTCTCCCACCGATGATGTGGTGTGAAGGAAGAGGTGAGCGAGAGACAGAGAGGAGGGAGAGAAGGACAAAGGGAGGGAGGGAGATAATATTTTACAGGCTTCAGAAGGGATCAGGCATAGCTTTCTCTATCACGGCATCCCTTCGTGTAGTAGATTTCAAGAAATGCTTTACTGAATGACATTGAATTTCTATAAGATTCCCCCTCTCTGCTGCCTTTGTGGACCGGTCCAGTAAATCTCCCTGCCGTCCTAGGGCAGGGTAAAAGCAGAAAGGCGAAGTCCAGGCTGGAGGGCTTAGCTCAGGAGAAGGCAAATAGCCAGGCCATTGAAACTGTGAGTGACTGAGTTGGTATGTGAGGAACAGAAAAACGGAAAGAGGGGAAAGTCAGCTTACTCATAATACAAAGTTGTTACGAGGATGAAACAACACAGTGCGTGCTGAGCCCTCATGACAGGGCCCACATGCTCCTCACAGGTGCTGCATAAATAAATGCTAATAAGTTGTAAATCACAATGCAAATAATTGGAGCCGCGGTTTAGTGTCCTGTTCCCATCCCAGCCTGAATAAACGCTTAAGGTGCATTCACGAGGTGGGGTGAAGTGAAGCAGGCTGGATCTAAGTGAGCTATTCTCTCATTCATTCACTCAACATGGGGCCAGGTGTGGGTACACAGAAGTAGACACGTGTCAGGGCATGTGCACAAACAGATAAGTAGGGTACTTTCAGAGTGGCAAGTGCAATGGATGAAATAATAAGGCAATGGGGCAGAGAATGATGACTGGGTGGCGTGTGAGGATAGTTGGAGAGGGCCTCTGAAAAGGTGACATTGGAGCAGAAAGACCTAAGTGATGAGGAGCTGGCCATGCAGAAATTGGCAAGAGGGTCGCAGACAGTGGGAATAGCAGATGCAAAAGTCCTAATAAGAACAAGCTTGGCATGTCCAAGGGCTACATGGGGTGGGAGGAGGGGATCCCAGAGTAATTATTGAGTGCAGATGCTGGGAGAAGCTTCCCTGTTCCCATGGTGATCTCAGAGAGCAGGCTGGGTATCGATACTGGATCGGAGACGAGCACAGCTGGATCTGAGAGGGTGGACCTTACCTCACTGTAAGAATCTGAAGGCCAATGAATAATTTCACTTCCAATCTTGGACACAATGGTTTTCCATATGGGCAAAGACTCTAAATGAAGGCCATTTGTTCCAGAAATGCAACATGCTGCTCACTCAATTTGAAAACCTCCAAGGACGAAAAAATAAAGCTCTGTACGAAAGAAGATGCTTGGTAATAAACATGATGCAGCATTAGGACAAATACCTAATGCATGCGGGGCTTAAAACCTAGATGACAGGTTGATAGGTGCAGCAAACCACCATGGCACATGTATACCTATGTAACAAACCTGCATGTTCTGCACATGTAACCCAGAACTTAAAGTAAAATAAATCAAAATAAAAAATAAAGAAACATGATGCAGCAATGCTCACTTTCCAAACAAGATGATAACTTTATGTTTGTTTTTTCACTTGGGAAAAATGAAGCACAAAGGATGATCAAATGCTTAGTGAAGAATGAAATGCTTTTAAAGTCAATTCCGCATGCAACTCTGTAATCGTACCTCTGCATAGGAACCAGAACTGACCAGTAACACTCTAAAATAAAAATTTTGTTTTGTCTTTGGGTGTTAGGATAATAAGCGATAATTTTTTCTTTTTGCAAAATATTTTCAGTATCGTCACCCCACCTTTCTAATTTAAAGGGGAAAAATGTATAAACACACTCCGGCAACTTCCAATCTATCCCGGAGATGAAATTGGAGCAAGGGGGCCATTTCACAGCTTGCCTTAATTTTGTTTCATTCTTCTATACCCTAAGGAGGTTGTTCATCATTACCTGGCTACAGAATTGAATAGGTGTGAAATCCAAGCTGATAGCAATACATCACTCCCTATTGAACTTCAAAGCTCAGGCCAAACTGCCTATAAAAATAGTTTTCATTCCGTGCCTTAATCTCTTTCATACATTTTCATTGTGAGGAGGTTTTTGGGGGAGTGGATTTTAAAAGTTTTACCATCCTTTGGGTGAGTAATAGGTGACAGTCATGCATAGCATAGCCGAGCCGGGAGAGGGGCAGAAAGCCAGAGTTCCCAGAGTGTTAATTTTGGTTCATGATGAGGCCAAGCCTGGACCTTATCAGACACCTTTATCAGAGCAATCACTAACAAGGTAAGTACGAAAACCATACAAAGACTTCTCATAATAAATGTCTTAATAAAAGTATTTATCAACCGCCTACTGCGGACAAATAATTGAGCTGTGTTAGAGTGGACCGTTTTCTAATTCCACTGCCCTAAAGCCGTAGTGTTGTACAACAAAGAACCTGAAACAGCCCAGTGTGTTTAGGGCTTTGATTGCTAAGATGCCTAAAATTACGGCCTGCATCCAAAACTTCCTTTTTGCAAATAACTGTCTTTTCTGAGGAATGAGGGGTCCACTTATTACTCAATTATTCATGTTACTAGTTTTTATAATTAACTAGAATAAATTACAGAATATGAGGGTCTGAAACTGGAGAGTCATTTTTATCCAAAGAAGTTAAAATTTCCACCTGCAAACGTAGAAACAAGTTGTAAAGAATAATAACAATAACAATAACAAACATTTGTATAGTGCTTATGATGTGCCAGGCACTATTCTAAGTACTTTTGTGTTCATTGATTTAATTCTTCTGACAACTCTTTGAGGAAGACATTAACATCTTTTTACAGTGGAGGAAACTGAGGCACAGAAAGGCTAAACAACTTGCCCAAGGTCACACAGCTCTTAAAGAGAGGAAGTGGAATTCCAAACCGATGAAGTCCAGCTTTTATTAAAGCATTCTTCCACATTTTCAAAAACCATTATTATTACTAACTTAGCTACTGCTGATATTATGGCTATTGGCACTTTATAGTGTGTGTAAAATGTTTCTGTATCTCTGTCCCATCTGCCTTGCTGGATGTGATAAAGACGATTTGAACAGGATGTATGACTTCATTTCAGATGAGAAGAATGACACTCAAAGAGGTTAAATAAAGTTGTATTTGTAGTTGTGCTTATGACTTAGAAGCTTGTATTCACCACCCCTAATCCATGTGGACGTCGCATGACTTGGGCATGAGATCAACTTTATAATTATATTATAAATAGATAAATCTCCATTTTTCTGGTTGGATGTGTAGAAAAGAGGAAGAAAGGCACAAAATAAATTACACTGACTTCAAACTAAGAAAACGAGGGAGCAGAGAAAAGGATGCTTTCCCCAGGGACAACCATTTTCAGATGAGATCCAAAATGGCGACTGTCTTTTGCCAAGTAGAGCGGCAGTGTGCTCACCCTTTAACTGGTCAGTTGCAAAGGATCAGGGAAAAAAGGGCCGAGAAGGAGAGTTTGGAGACAGCCTTTATGGAGTGAGTAATTACTGTGTAGAGTGGGCAACTCCCCCAGGAAGCAGAGAAAGTTGTAACCCTGACCATATTTGAAGAAGAGGAAGACAGGCACTTATAGGAAATAAATGATGTGTTCTTGGGGAACGAGACAGGCTTATATGAATTGCAGAGACCTCTGCTTTCCGCAAATGCTGCTTTTAAACAGTAGGTAGGAGCTGGAGCCAAAACGGCAAGGACAGGTTTATGTGGATGCCCCTCATTTTTGAGTCAGTGTCAACCATCTTGAAAGCATGGCCATTGTCGGAGATGAGTTCAAAGCACTTGGTAGAGAACAACGCTTCGTTGTAGGCTGCTCTGCCAGTTTCTCCGGCACCCTTGTCTGCTGATGTCCACTGCAATGCAGATGTGTGCTGCTTGCTTCCTTCATGTATCATTTCTTCTAGCTTTTTCACCTTTACACTTCCTGTACCCTCTCCCCACCCAACTCCACCTGGAATGACCTCTATCTCCTTTGTGTGACTGGCAAAGTCTAACTGTTTATCCCTGAGCTGTCAGCACCTCTGAAAACAATCCTTTCTCTTCTTCCCTGGGCAAAATTAGGTCCTTTCTCCTTCATGCCCTCCCACCCCAGCACCTTATAACATCCCTACTTTAAAGCATTTGTATCTTCATATTTCATCTGTTCATTAGTCCATCTCCCCAACCAGATTCTGAAAAACCAGAGGGCGTCGACCAAGCACAACGCAGTTAGGAAGAGACTTTGTGGTCAGACCACCCATATGGCCTCAAGCAAACTCCTTAATTTCTCTGAGCCTTAATTTTCTCATCTGTTAAATGGGGATAAGAGTAATAACATGATTTCTGTTAAAATTAAATGAGATAATGTAGTTTAGCAAGCCATTTAACACAATGCTTAACTGTAATTATTATCGATTCATCTCTAAATCCCCTGAGTCTAGCATCATGATAAGCCATGGAAAATACTTAGTAAATGCTAAACACAGTACTTTTTGGCATTTCTTTCAGCATAAAGCCTTTGTGTTCTAATTTAAATTTATGTAAAACAATATAGAGAATTGTTCTGAGCATCAATTCTGGAGCCAGATATCCTGAGTTTGAGTCTGCGTTCTGCCACACTAGCTATGTGGCTTTAGGGAAGTTATTTATTCTCTCTGGGCTTCAATTTTCTCTTCCATGAAATGGGAACAATAACAGTACCTAATTCAAGTGTTGTTATGAGGAATAAATAATTTATGGAAAGTGCTTAGGATAGTGTATTTCATGTAAGAAGCATTTTATGAATGACTGACATTAGCTATAATTAGGATCCCAGTATACAAAAGAGTTAAAGTAGAAGAAGGAATGGGATCTGTAGCTCTGCCCAACCTTTCACCTCAATTCCTCACCACCCCCCAAAGAAAGCTTCTAAGGATAAAACCATGGTTTCAAAGCAATGCTCAGCAAATGGATTTTGAAATAACTGATGTTAGCCTAGAGAAGCCCAAGTTTCTCTGCTCCTATCTGCATCAATAAGACAGATGGCCAGTCTTGTAGGAGAAGAGATTTCTGTTACAGTTATCTTTTGCTGTGTGAAGAACCACCCTAAAAACTTAGGAACTTAAGATAACGACAGTCATTCATTTTGCTCACAAATTTGTAATTTAGCAGGGATCAGCAGAGATGGCATATTCTGTTCCATGCAGTGTCAGATGGAATAGTTCCAGTGAGGATAGAGTATTCATTTACAAGACGGCTCATTCACATGGCAAAACTGTCATGTCAGCCTGGGACCTTGATTCCCCTCCATGTGGACTTTGTCATGAGGTTGCTTGGACTTCTTCCCAGCATGGCTGCTGATTCCCAGAACAAGTGTTCCAAGGGGCCCTGGGAGAAGCTGAAAAGTTCTTATGACCTAGGCTTGAAAGTTCTAGAATAGCACTCCCACCACATTCTACTGGCTGAGCAAGTTGCTAGAGCCAGACAGGTTCAAGAAGAAGAAAATTAGACTCCACCTCTCAGAATGAGGAAGAATAGAGAATTCGTGACAGTCTTCAATCTGCCATATCTCTCCCAGGTGACTGGACCAAGCTGGAGACACCCCATGAGCCCAGGAGCAGCTTTCCTTCCAACTCTGCTAACACCTGAACAGATCTCCTTTTGATTTGGTCTCTTTGAGAAGTTCTACAACAGCTTTTTCTGAATCACTTTGTCTAGTTTTGTGCAAACGGTAACTGGGGCATCCAGAAGAATGTACAGAGCAGAGAGTTGGTCAAAAATGTGTTAGTCCTGAGAAGAAATAAAAGGCAGCCTAGACATTAAATTTGGGAAGGACAACGGCTCGACACATATGGATTAAAAATATATCACCCACAATGAATGAAATGTTAATAAACAGAAATAAAGAAGTATTAAGTTTCCCTAGTCATAGCACAGAACCATCCACATAGCAAATTCCGTGTATATATTTGAGGATACTGATAACAAAGAGCTAAAGGGCACATTCCTTGCCCTTAGGAAATTTATCATCTAATGTAAAAGTCAGGCATCAACAGACTAAAAAGGCTATGAATGGAAAGGTATTACTGGGGAAGAGTAATAGATTAAGATATTGAAGTCTTGGGTTGGAATCCTGGTTCTGTCATTTAGTAGCTGTGTAATCTTTAGTAGCTGAAGAATTGATTCAATCTGTCTAAGCTTTAGTTTCTCCATTAACCTCTTCTGTGAGAAAGAAATCAAATCATGTATGGCAACATTCTTGCCAAGCCAGCGTAGCACTGGCCTAAAGTAGGCATCAAATAAATGTCCCCAGTCTTGTCAATTGCAATTATAACTAATAAAGCACCCAAAAGCATCAGGTTGGCACATAGCCAGGAGGGTTAGAACATCAAAATAGATTTGTTTAAGGGATGTAATAATATTTTCAACCTTGGAAAATTCCAGGAAAGGCCAGGAGACAGACATCTACTCTGGATAGCTTGGAAGACAGTGGATACATTGGAGTTTATGGAACGCCTAAGAACCAAGTGTCCTTAGGCCCTAGGTTGAAAATTCCTGGGTTAAACTGTCATCCTACTGAAGATAAAAAATGGACTCCTGCACCCACCTCCTCCTACAAGCTAGACTAAACTAGGCATGCCATTTTATGCTATATGTCTCCTCTTTCCTGCAGCTCCTGTTGCAATTCAATAATCATTTGTGAAATTATATATTTAATTGACAGCACACTAGACTAAGCTCCTCATGAAAGCAAAGGCCAAGCTTGTCTTACCCACCCTCAAATCCCCAACATCAAGCCCCCCTTTGCTGCATAGTATGCCCTCAATACATATTAGTTGAATTAATTACATGATCATTCGATGGAATTTCCAGTTGTGGGTTTCCAAGCTCCTACTCCAGCCATCTGACCAGAATTAAGAACAGGAACTTGATCCCAGGCAGAGGTTTCCAGACAGCAAGACATCTAGGCATAAAACCCACACAGCCAACGCTTTGCTCCCTGGCCTCGCTCTGGGTCCCACAGATTGCACGTGTTTTGCATATGGAACCTCATTGACATCACTGGGAATTTCACAGATGGAACAAATGAGAAGGTGGCAATAGAAGTTTGCAGCATGAAGCTGTCAAGAAGAGGTGCTTTGTGACTAGGAGAACAGAGAGCATGTGCCCTGATGAATGAGAGGCAAGTGGCGTGCTGACGGGGGACAGTCATTGGCTGCCCTTTGAACACATTGGGGTCAAGGCCCTGTCCAGCTCACTTGGTCCCCAACATTGGAAGCTTGGGCTCGTTCCATAATAGCAGCCTGGCCCGACTTTCCATCCCGCATCCCCCTCCTCACCCCTGGCTCCTGCTCTCTGCTTCCCTCCCACCAGTCCCCAGACAAAAACAAAAGGCCCATTACGAAGTTATTAGCTTCGTCTCGCATATCCCACGGAGTAAGACAACTGCCAACCCCACTTCAACTTAAAATGTTTAACAGATTTGCCCACATCTAATTTCTGTCACTGTGTTTACAGTACAAGGAACCCAGAGAAGAAAGCAGTGGAGAAAAGTAGTAGGGTTGGGGTTGTGGGGGGACAGTGGAGGAGGCAAAAAATAAATGCCAAACTCCTTCAAAGGGCGACATTCCTCCTTGCGGTTTGCAAACACTTCCTCTTTCCCCAGCCATCCTGTAATCAGGCTCCAGTGCTCACCAGAGGAGTGTTTACATCCAACACCATTACCGGCAGGGGAGACAGGCGAAATTAAGGCCTCTGGTCTCTGTTCTCTGAGGCCCCATTATCTTTTCCCTCCCCTTTACCCCCTTTCATCAAACGCCTCCAATATATGAAGGGGTAAAAGCCTTTAATGGGATTTTGAAGATCTTAAAAGCCAGGCGGTTTGTTTAAAAAGGAAAAAGACCAAGAGTGGAGCATAGCCTGGGATCCCTGGGTCCATTTCTTGAAAAAGGGAGCAAACTTTGTTCCATTTTTTCCCATCTGCCAAATCAAGTGTTGGGTTTGAGGTTTGTCTTGGATGGACAAGCAGACCACACAGAACTGCCAGTGCACAGCCCCCTTTCCAGGGATGCTGAGAACTCAGTCCACGGCACTCTCCAGGCCTGGCATCTTCCCCCCCATCTCTCCATTGGAGCCATCCCCAAGACCCAAATTGGCATCAACATCCCCGACCACAGTTAGCTGAGCCTAATGGTGGCCAAGGGAACAGGAGAGAAGGGAGACAGCAGTCAAGGTCAAAGGAAATATTGCATGTTGGCAAATCCAATGGGACGGATGTTGGGAAAGCCCCAGTCATACACAACCTCAAAGTTTGGTTAAGAGAGAAACTGGGTTTTCCAAAGCAATGGTGCTATTTGGTATTCTCTTTCCACTTATTTGGGCTAGTTAGGCATTGCTGAATCAGCGTTAGATTGGCTTGGGATGTGTTGCGCCACAGTTGTCTGGAGGAGCCATACTGGGTTGAAGAGTGATTTCTTAAGAACATTGCTTCTGCATGGTGCATTGCATTGAGCCGTGCTGTATTGAAGATGTTGTTGAATTTATGGTCAAAATTTGAGTAGAATATTGGCATGTAATTTTGTATTGCCATAGTATTATTTTGATCTCTGGTGCCACGTAGGCTGTAGTATTATTTCAGAAGACATGTTGAGATGCAATACTGTGTTTGTTCAGGACTGTTGTTGAGTTGCACTATAATGTCACATTGGCGTGTGGTATTGTGTGGGTAAGCGGTGTGGTAACACCATCAAGCACTGGTTCTGTTCATCAGAGGAACTGACTCTCCTAGCAATAAAACCCAATCTCCCCTCCCACTGTTGCCACGTGGTCCCTCTGCACAGAAGCTGATGGCTTTCAGGAGACAGGAGACAGAACCGTGTCTCTGGGAATACCAAGGGAGACCTTGAGGTCATCAGAGCTCAATTACTCAGACTGATGATTGGCTGAACAGCAAGTCAAAATCCCTGGGACTCTTCTACAAAGTGCAATGGGTCTTGAATTACTGCACTCTCTGGTTTCCCTCATGGCAACAGCCTCCCCTCAAACTGCACAGAACTTCGGACCAAATCTGAAGCTCTGCTCCTTTCCTTGTGCACTTCAAGAAGTTTCCTAAACTCACTAGGACTTGGGGCAAAGGTAGTCCAGCCCCAAGGGCTGGAAGTGACAAAATGTGCCCTCCTCCTTATATTGTTCTCTGCACATCAGCGGGCACAGTTTTCTCCCTTGCTTAAAGCAACTGTCAGCAAAGCACCTTTTTCTGAGGACATCTGAATATGTTGACATTTTTTTTTAAATAATGGAACCAAGTGGTGCCACCTCCAAAGAGAATAACAATCACAACAATAGCAGGTACCATTAATCATATGCTCACAATGGGCCAGGCACTAAACTAAGCACTTTCTATGCCTTGCCTCATCACATACTCCCTACACCCCTGCGAGGGAGGTATCACTAGCTTTGTTTGACAGATTCATTCAATTATTTGTTCAACAATTATTGTAAGAGCAACTGCTGTGTGCTGGGCACTGTTCTTGGCACTGGTGGTGCAGCAGTGAACAAAACACGCAAATACCACTGCTTGCCTAGAGATTCCAGCCTAAGTTTTCTTTTTCTTTTTTTTTTTTTTTTTTTTTTAGGCAAAGTCTTGCTGTGTTGCCCAGGATGGAATGCAGTGGTGCAGTCTTGGCTCACTGCAACCTCCACCTCCCAGGTTCAGGCGATTCTCCTGCCTCAGCCTCCTGAGCAGCTGGGATTACAGGCATGCGCCAGCATGCCCAGCTATAGCCTGGGATCCCTGGGTCCATTTCTTGAAAATTTTTGTATTTTTATTAGAGATGAGGTTTCACCATGTTGGCCAGGCTGGTCTCGAACTCCTGACCTCAAGTTATCCACTGGCCTCAGCCTCCCAGAGTGCTGGGATTACAGGCATGAGCCATCACGCCCAGCCAGGAAGCTAAGTCTTAAATAAATAAAGACCCTTGTACAAAGCCACACAGCTTGTGACTAGCAAAGCTCAGACTCGGACCCAGAACTGCTTAACTCCAAAGCCCACAGTTATGACAATTACATATCCTACCTTATGGAAGTCACTAACTTGTCTGGATTTCTGGACTTTTTTTGTCTTTTTTTTTTTTTTTTTTTTTTTTTTTTGACAGACCCACGCTCTGTCGCCCAGGCTGGAGTGCAGTGGCACAATCTCAGCTCACTGCAACCTCTGCCTCCTGGGTTCAAGCAATTCTCCTGCCTCAGCCTCCAGAGTAGCTGGGATTACAGGCACTTGCCACCACGCCCAGCTAATTGTTTTGTATTTTTAGTAGAGATGGGGTTTTGCCATGTTGGCCAGGCTGGTCTCGAACTCCTGGCCTCAAGTGATCTGCCCATCTCGGCCAACCAAAGTCCTAGGATTACAGGCTTGAGCCACTGTGCCCGGCCTGAGTTTTGTGTTTTTGATATCAGCTACACAGTCTTAGATGACAGTGGCTTGGTCATTGTCCATTAGATGTAAACACAAATAACACAGTGTGCAACCTCTGCAGGCTCAAGTGCTAATATGTTCATGGAGCTCTGAGGCTGAGTTCAGAAAGAAAGAACTGACGGGGAGGAAGGGATAAAGTTTTGCTTCTTCCTTGTTGGGTAATAGCTGCCATCCCTGAGCTCTCAGAGGCATTGCCAGCACGGGAGAAGAAATGTGGGTGAACTGTAGGCCAGACCAGAGAGAGCTGTTGTAATGGAAAAGGCAGTACTTTGTTTTTAAACTAACAACAGTTTGTATATGCGGTCAAGGCTTCCCTTCCTCCTGGTACTGCAGAAGAGAGGGAGGATTACGGAAGAGCAAGGAATCCAAGCTTGAGAGACCAGGGTCCAAGTCCTAATTATACCTTTTCTGGAGACTGGGCTGGTCATATTGCCTCTCTGAGACTCAGTTTCTTTAACTGTTAAATGGGAATTTTTTTAACACCTAATTGACAGAGCTGAGGTAAAGAGTGTTAAATGAGAATATTGTTGGAAAGTGCTTTGCCCATTACAAAGAGCTACATAAGTGTTAGATAATCCACCCGTCTTCCAGAGATCAACCTTCAAATTAGGAACTATGAAATTACAAGCTCAGGAGCATCAAGAGGCTAACCAAGGTCTTCAAAGTGGGGAAGAAAGCCAAGTGGAGGTTGTAGGAGAAATAAAATGGAGTTCATGTTGATGTATTGTATATATCTCAAGTCCTGTGGTTGGTGTATGTGTGTGTAGATAGATAGATAGATAGATAGATAGATAGATAGATAGATAGACAATTTCATTTTGAGCAACCATATTATCCCTGTTTCATGGTTGAATAAACAGCTGTTCAAAGAGGCAAGCCAGCTTTCCTGTGGTCACGCACAAAAAAAAATGAAAACACTGGGATTCAAGTTTAAAATGGCCATCTCCAAAACCCATGTGTTTCCCCCAATTTGTCACCACATTTGCCCAAAGCACTCCCTAAAAGAAAACCTATGCAATTAGATTTACATTTAAAGGCTCAACCTGTCATTATTACCTGTCTTCTCAAATAAATAGACCCCCAACCCTCAGTCACGCCACTTACAGAAGCCCCTAAATGGAGCTAGTTGTCTCGTCTAAGTGGCTTCCTTGAGTTAGGCAATGAATGAAGTGACCGCTTCCTACCCTTGCATCTTCTCCTGTCTCCTGGCCCTTCTTCACACAAAGCAGATTCTTATGTGTTAGGCAGAAGGTGGCTGATATGGGGAGCCCCTTGTTGTATTGAACCTCCACGTCTTGTCTTTTCTAAACATAGGACAGCATTCTCGATATGATAGTGTTCCAGCTTGTATTGTTTGGGGCCCATCCTCCAATTCTAGTTCTGGGTCCTGTCCAGGACAGCTTTCTTCTTCCAGACTGTCTCCAGACCATAGACTTTAGTGCTCAAAATCCAACCTCCTTCACTTAGTAGCTGGCTAACGTTAGGCAGGTCATTCAACTGTCCCTTAATCCCAACACAAGACTCCACCCTGCATTCGAGTTTTCCTGTCCCTCCCTCTCCAGATTCAAGTCCTGTCAATCCAGCTCACTAAATATTCCTCAAATTCATTCTCTTCCCTCTTTTCCAATGCCACCAGCATTCACTACCTCTATTTCTCTGTTGGATTTGGTCTTACTACTTCCACTCTTGCCCCTACCATCTCTTCTCCTTACTGTAAACAGAATGAGCCTTTTTAAGTATGCAAATTAACTCATCATATTCCCCATCCAGCCATCCAAAACCCTTCAGTGGCTCCCTATTACTATAAGGCAATGAACCAAATGACGAACTATGTCAGCTCTACAGTCTGGGGTCTTACCAGCCTTAAGACATTGGCCAGATGGCTCAACCTCTCTGCTTTGGTTTTGCAAGCTGTGCCTATAACTCAGAGTTGTTGCAAAAATTAAATGAGTTAATAAATTAAAACTTCTCGGGAAAGTATCTAGTAAACAATAAAGAACTCAGTAAATATTGCCTTTTATGGTCATCTTCATCATCATCATTACTGTGGTTATTATTTGAATAAAGTCCAAAACTTTAAGCATGATATACAGGGGCTGGAAAGACCTGTTTCTTGCCTACCTATCCAACCCTATCTCTCTGTGTCACCCCTTATATTCTATGCACCAGCCATCCTGAACAACCTTGGTCCTTGGGTGCAACACAGGGGCAATGACTTACGCATAAAGATGTTCATCACACTGATGTTAATTATAATAAAGGTTTTTTAAAAGCTAAATATCCATCAATTAAAAATAGTTAGTAAAATTGTGGTATAATGAAAGATTACACAATAATTTTAAATTATGATTCTAATGAATATTTAATGACATGAGGAAATACTCAAGATATGACAGTATATGAAAAATGATGCAAAATTCTATATACATTATCTCAACCTGAAGGAAATAAATCAAAATGTTTAACAATGAGCATCTGTACTGCTAGATTATGGGTGATTTTTTTTAATACTTTGCCTATTTTTCAAATCTTATAGAATCAGCATGTATGCCTTTCACAATGGAGAGGGGGAGGAAACATAAAAGAAAAATAAGAAAAAGACACAGGAAAAGACTCACCTTTTTTGTTTCAAATTTAAATATCTAGTATTAAAAGTTAATTTCATCCAAACTCACTCCCCACTGCCCACCCACACACATACAATTGTCATCATTTTCCTCTTTCTCCTGTGTTCATAAAAACAGTATTTTCACTTTGGATTCTAAACAATTGAACTGAAAACTTACAAGGAAAATCAATTTTCCTCCACTAACTAAATTAATTTGTTAGGCTCCTCTCCTAGAATAAGAGAAATCTTGAAATTAGAAGAAAAAAATGCTCCAATTTAGAATAAAATCTAAAACAGATTTAGTAGCGGGGGCAAATGTATACTAAATTTAGAAAAGGGAAGATAAACAAATCATATACTTTTATACCAGGATTTTGGAGTGCTGTTTCTATACCTAAGCTAGAAATTGTTGCCTGGTCAACATGCTGTATCTCTCAGGAGCCGAGATATCCCTTAATGTGCTATTTGGTGATAGTGGTGGGATGTGGGGCGTGTGTGTGTGTGTGTGTGTGTGTGTGTGTGTGCACATGATTCTTGGATTGGCCAGATGTTCTGATGTACTCAGACTTAATGTCTGTCCGTGGGATGCTGGGTTGACCAGATATCTGAAATGTGTGTGTGTGTGTGTGTGTGTGTGTGTGTGTGTGTGTGTGTTGAGAAAAAAAGAGAATAAAAGGGTAAAGGGTACAGCATAAAAGGGTAAAGGGTACAGCAACGTTTACTATCTCCCTGCTCTAACAAGTTATAATTTCTTCTCAGCCTGCCTTTTTGGTGGGAACAGTAGTTTCCCATACCAACTGGAATGGGGAGGGGGGATGGGTGTGAGGACCATTTGATGGTTTGTCAAGATATGTACTCTAGCACCTCATTTTTTTAAAAATGTTTTTAAATGAAAAAGCTTTGCCCCATAGACAAAACGTGGCATTAATATTCTTGCAAAAGAGCAAAGAACCTCATCCTGAAGGATGAGGGATAATATGACTAATATATCATTAGGAACCCCTAATGAATTAAAATAGTATTCACATTTTCCTCTGATTTTATGCTTGGCTGTGAAGCATTTCAAAAGGAGGGAATGAAAGAGACAAGCACTGTGGCTTACATTGTTACTTTGACATTACAAATAAGTGTATTTATGATGGCATTATACAGTTCATATATTTTCCTCTAATAGTGCCAATAAAAAGATGGCATTTTCCCAGCATCTGCTCTCTCTGCTCATGTTTTATGTCTTACTTTCCTCAACAGGCTATGTGCTCTTAAGCAAAAGGCTAATATTTTTTTAGTGAAGGGGAGGGGAAGCCAGTATTCTGTCTTTCTACCACTTGATTGTTATTTTTCTATTAGTCCTCAGAAAGACAAAATGCAGTGGCTTTTCTTTTTTCTATCAAGAGATATGCCACACACATGCACACATTACTAACAGCTCACATTTTTCAGAGTTCTTACTGCCTACCAGGACCTGGACTTTGTGCGTATGACTGCAATCTACCTTCAAGACAAGTTTATGAGGGCAGGTTCTCTGATTATTCCCACTTTTGAGATGAAGAGACTGAGGTTCTTAGAGAATCCAAGGCCACTCCATATGATCGAGGACTCAGGTCCCTCAAAGTCAGTGCTTCTGACAACATTCTTTTGCTTTTTGTTCTTTTCTTTCATGGTTGAGGCTTTCACTACATATAATGGATAAATGGTCCAGTTAGCGGCACAGGTTTCAGTCTCACTGAACCTTTAATCAGGCACATCCCCCTTTTGGATGTAATGGAAATACCAGTTAACTTCCATCAATAACCATCTTAGTTTCTTCTTCCATAGGTCTAGCTATATGACCTTGAATAAGTAACTTAACACTCCTGAACATCAGTTTTATTATGTTGGCACAGAATATGAGTTTAAGAACTGTGATTCATTCATTCAAATAATATTCACTAACCTCATCTTCGGGTGCTGGAAAGATGCCAGGTGCTGAAGGAACAACAGTGATAATGACATAGTCCCTACTCTCACAGAGCATGCAGTCTGGTGCAAGAGAAAAACACATACAGTGGCCAATGTAAGTGACTGTGACTAGTCCTTTGATGTCAGTACCAGATTGGAGCTGCTTGAGATTCTGACCAACATCTGAAGCACCAATATGCAAAATTACTTCAAAGTTATTTAGAAATGTTATGCCAGATATGGTGGCTCACGGCTGTAACCCTAGTACTTTGGGAGGCCAAGACAGGAGGATCACGTGAGCTCAGGTGCTTGAGACCAGTTTGGTCAACATGGCAAAACTCCATCTCTACAAAAAATACAAAGATTAGCCAGGCTAGTGGCACACGCCTGTAGCCCCAACTACTCGGGAGGCTGAGGTTGGAGGATTGCTTGAGCCTGGGAGGCAAAGGTTGCAGCGAGCCAAGATTGTGCCACTGCACTCCAGCCTGGGTGACAGAGCCAGACCCTGTCTCAAAAAAAAAAAAAAAAAATACCTAGAAATATTTTATTATAAATGCTCCACTCTAAAACAAAACAAAAAACTTGTAGAAGTCAACAGGACTTCTACCAGATGATTTAAGGTATCAATTGTGGATACGGGAATCAAACATGCTTTGGGGCTATCATAACAATGACTAGAGATTATCACATCAACAAATTACTACTCCTGTCGATCAATATCTTTTTTTATAAATATATACCTGCCTGTCTAGGCATCCATCAGCAGAACCGAAATGTGAAAAGGTTTGCTAAGTGACTGCCAGCCAGAGAGTAAAGTTATTTTTAAGGATTCAGCAAGACTGTTCTCTTCAAGGTATTCTCAGACCCTCTCCACCTTCAGTCTCAGTGACTCTGCTGAGTCCTCCAAAATAGGGTTTCTCAGCCTGGGCCCTATAAACATTTTGGGCCACGTAATTCTTTGTTGTGGGGGCTATTCCGTACATTGTAGAATCTTTAGCAGCATCTGTGACCTATATCCACTGGATACCAGTAGCACCTCATCCTACCCCACTGTGACAATGAATAACGTCTCCGGGCATTGCCAGATGTCCCCTGGGGAGGCAAAATCATCCCCAGTTGAGAACCACTGGTCTAACACTAAAAGGACCTCTATGTTTTGAAGGAGTTAAGATCAACTTATGATCTAGCCCAGCACGGCCTGGTCCCTTCTAAGATACCTTTTCTTTCTTCAAGTCAGGGATTAGAAAGGAAGTCATCAAATGTTTCATTCATTCATTCTCTCACTCCCTCATTCAGCAGATATTAATTAATGGGTAGTGGCAGTCCTCAGGCACACTCTGATACAAAGCCGCTGAGCACTGTAACAATGTCCAAACAAATGCCATTCAGGACATGATCTAAACTAATGAAGCTGACTGTATTAGCCCATTCTCTCTATGTGTCCATATGTTCTCATCACTTAGCTCCCACTTATAAGTAAGAACATACTTATAAGCTCCCATTTATAAGTATTTATGCAAGTTTTCTGTTCCTGCATAAATACACCTTTTCTATGCACTGGAAAACCAAAAAATTGTGTGACTCACTTCATTGCAATATTTGCTTTATTGTGGTAGTCTGGACCTGAACCCGTGATATCTCTGTTGTATGCCTGTACTTCCAATATTTCAATATTAAATCAACTCTTTTTATTTACTTAATGTCACAAGGAAATTGTATGACAGGTCAGGCACGGTGGCTCACACCTGTAATCCCAGCACTTTGGGAGGCTGAGGTGGACAGATCACTTGAAGTCAGGAGTTTGAGAGCAGCCTGGCCAATATGGCAAAACCCCATCTCTACAAAAAATACAAAAATTAGCATGGTAGTGCATGTCTGTAATTCCAGCTACTCTGGAGGCTGAGGCAGGAGAATCACTTGAACTCGGGAGGCAGAGGTTACAGTGAGCCGAGATTGTGCCACTGCACTCCAGCCTGGGCGACAGAGCAAGACTCTGTCTCAAAAAAAAAAAAAGAAAAAAAGAAAAGAAAGAAAGAGAGAGAGAGAGAAGGAAGGAAGGAAGGAAGGAAGGAAGGAAGGAAGGAAGGAAGGAAGGAAGGAAGGAAGAAAGGAAGGAAGGAATTGTATAACTATATATTACATGTATATATAAATTCATTGTCACATTCATATATAAAAGGTAACCCCAAAAAAGAAAAACCTTGAAAGCAAAACACAGCTATCAAATTCTAGCTGCACATTGCTGTCAATTAGAGGTTCTAAGCATACTGCCTTCTCTCTCCATATTACAAACCAGGCCAAACTGAGACTATGTATGTGCCAATGAGAAGTGAAAGAGGTTTGCAAAGGGAAAACCCTCTCACCATGTGATTCAAAATCGTTTATTTTCACATTTTTGGGCCATCTCAATTCATGTACACCTACCAATATCATGCGTGTCACCTTTTGGGAAACACAGGACAAGCTATGCCAGTACTAATTCTTAATGCCTTGCTTCATTGGCCTTGCTGGGCGGCCTCATGTAAATGACATATTCTAAACTTCAGTTTTCTCATCTATCTAATGGAAATACCATAGCTGAGCCTCAAGGCTGTTATGAAGAATTAATAGCATATGGAAACTTGTTTTGCTTTCCAAGGTTTCGCTTTAGCTGTAACCTTCTAGAGAAACCAAGCCTGTGGCCAGGCATGGTGGCTCATGCCTACAATCCCAGCATTTTGAAAGACAAAGTCAGGAGGTTCGCTTGAGGCCAGGAGTTTGAGACCAGCCTGGGCTACATAGTGAGACTGTCTCTACAAAAAAAAAATTAAAAATTAGCCAGGCATAGTGACATGCACTTGTAATCCCAGCTACTCCAGAAGGTGAGACCAGAGGATCGCTTGAGCCCAGGAGGTAGAGGCTGCAGTGAACTATGATTGCATAACTGCACTCCAACCTAGGCAATAGAGTAAACTCTGTCTCTAAAAAAAGAAAAACTTGGCAAGTGGCTCACACCTGTAATCCCAGCACATTGGGAGGCCCAGGTGGGAGGATCACTTGAGGTCAGGAGTTCAAGACCAGCTTTGTCAACATGGTGAAACCCCGTCTCTACTAGACATATAAAAATCAGCCAGGCGTAGTGGTGCTTGCCTGTAGTTCCGGTCCTGGTCTAGCTACTCTGGAGGCTGAGGCACAAGAATCGCTTGAATCCCAGAGGCAAAGTTTGCAGTGAGCCAAGATCATGCCACTGCACTCCAGCCTGAGTGACAGAGTGAGACCTTGTCTCAAAAATAAAAAAAATAATAATAATTTTAAAAAGCAAAACCAAGTCCCACAACAGTATTTGTAGGTGGCCATTTGAGTAATTCTTAGGAGGTGGCATAGCACAACAAAACAAAATGAAGTCTTTCCAGTTCACCACCCTTCAGCTAATGGTCTTAGCCATTCACTTAGCCCCTCTGAGACTCAATTTCCTTGAGTATAACACGGAATCAGAAAAGCGCTACTGCCTGCCCTTACTATATATATCCACGGGATAATGAAGGCTCTTTATGAGCTGCCAGGTGAGAGATGTGCATATCTGCAGTGACTTCAGAGCTACTGGGAATGAACTGTACCTCTCTGGGTGTTCTCAACTGTACCCAGGCAGGTAATGGGTCAGCAAGAACGGGATGCTTGGGGGTGGCTGCTGCTGAGAAGAGGAGCTACATAAGAAATATGTTGGAAGGAGGTGCAGATGCCTGGAACTGGGTAAAAAGTTCTGCAAGACATCCAAGAAGGGAACGGAGAGGCCAAGAAGTGGGGGGTGAGGGAGAGAAGAAATGGAAGAAGGCGTTAGGAGCGAGGAAGGGGTGACTTGGAAAACGTGCCCTCTGGTATCAGAATCCTTGGCAGACCCTGCACTTTTGAGGTTCAAGTTTGTTTATTCTTGGCAAAATGCAACTGCCTGTTTCTCAGAGAAAAGTCTTTAAAAGGCTTATAAAATCTACTCAAAAGGCTTTCTGGACATCAAATAGCTCATAAAAAGGAACATTTTGATGAGTTAAGTGTAAATGAATCAGAAACATACGGATTCCATTTCACCTAATCTGCCGTTGGATTTAGAAATGAAGGGGAAAACTGCTCAGAGCCAAATTCTTCAGGGGCTTTGCAGACCCCCGAAACCTTTGAAAGCCATTGGCAACGTGAGGCGAATCCCCTACAGAACTTCGCGTTGCTCTCCTGAACTTGAGCCTCTAAGAAAGGCCCCCACTGGAGGATTCATTCTGAGTCATAAAGAAAAGAAAAGGGATAAACTTCACGTGTT